>NC_000004.12:114072896-114224411 GCF_000001405.40 Homo sapiens | reverse complement strand
AACACTGGTGTCATGTCATAATATTAAGGGTGTTTTATAAAAGAATTTTGTGATCAAGAGGATGTGTTAAAGAGCATAATCTTTAAGAATCTAAGAACACCTGCAGAAAAAAAGCAGAGCAGTCTCATTTAGCCCAGCATTTCTAGAGATCAAAGAACTCTATTTTGTAATTCATCTATTACTATCGAATAGAACATTAGTATTTAATAAATCTCAGTTTGGGAAATCCCACCTTAAAGGAACTCATAGCGAGTGGTATGGCTTCATTTGGCTTTGATGTCTTCTAAAACAAGTCTTGGATCTCTTTTTTGTCATTAATTAACCTATTAAAATACTTCATTGAACCCCAGCCAAGCACCAGCCTCCCTAATAGGAACTGTGAATACAACACAAGCAAAATGGGCATAGTCCCCTCCCTCATGAGGTTTAGCTTAGTGAGGATGCAATAATTATTGCTAAGGTCCAAAGAAATAGTAGACTCAGTAGGCAAAGAAAACTGTGGGAGACAGAACATTCCCCATAGGAAAAAAACCACGGTCAAAGGCAGTGTGGTGTAGGGAGGGGCATGGATATTAAAGACCAGGGCTGGAGACAGAGAGTGCATTAGGAAATGGTGAAGATAAGACTGGAGTGGCACATGAGGACAGAGCCATACAGAGCATTGCAGGCAGAGTTTTTAAAGATGTGTTTTTATTCTGAAACTAATGGGAAACCATTTAGTTATCATCAGCAAGATAGTGATGTGCATTTTAAAAAGAAGATTCCAGCTGCAATGAGAAAAATTTTGACAGAATCAAGGGAGGATATGGGCTGATCAGTTAGAAAGAATAATTTAGTAATTCTGGCAAGAAATAATAAGAACTTAGTGTTACGGACTGCAATGTGGCCCTCGCCACCACTCTAAATGATTATGTTGAAGCCCTAAATCCCTAAACTCCTTGTGACTCTATTGAAGACAGGGCCTGTAAACAAGTGATCAAGGTTAAATAAGGTCATAAAGCTGGAGCCCTGATATAGGGATACTGGCATCTTTATAAAAGAGAGAAAAGAATAGCAGAGATCTGTCTCTTTGCCATTGAAGACACAGCGAGAAAGTGGCCATCTCCAAGCCAGGAAAAAGAGATTTCACCAGAACCAGAATTCTGCCAGAAACTTAAGCTGGGACTTTCCAGCCTCCAGAACTGCAAGAAAATAAATGCTTGTTATTTAAGCCATCCAGTGTATGAAATTTTGTTATGGCAGACCAAGCAAACTAAGACACTTGGAGTAGAGTATTGGTGGTAGAGATGAAGAAGCATATACTGAGATACATAAGAGGAAAATCAGTACCACTTGATGATATGGAAATAGAGGGAAGGCCAAGGATGAACTCTGATTTCTGGCTTGTTCATTTCCTCTTATACTTTTTTCTCTAAAATACTTACAACTCTTTAATGCTGACCTTTGTTTCTCTCTTATATCATGTGTACAACTGTTTTCCTACATTCCCATGTTTCCTCAAAAACTCAGAGCCTTTGCATATTCTGTTTCTCTTGCTTTAAATATCTATTATTCTCCTAACTTTTATTTGACTGTATAACTTCTACTCAACCATCCTTTAATACAATGACCAAGCATCAGAGTCTAATATTCCTCCTATATGTCCCCTGCATACTTATCACTTGCCATTTAAACGGTTAATTCATCTCTTCTTCCTATAACAATGGGAATGTATTGTGATGTATTAGAGAAGGTGATGCTTAGGGTAAATCTTGAAGGAAGGATAAGTAGGAGCTAGCCAGGCAAAGAAGAGGAATAATGGCTGTTCTATTCATTTTTCTATGAGAATTCCCACATTATAACAATGGGTATATGGTAGACCCAGTAGATATCCATTGACTTAGCTAATGAAGGGATGGATCTAACAAATATTTGTATAATTTTTCAGATCTTCTGTCACGTACTTAAGTTGACCTACAGATACCCTTGTGATTAACGTTCTTTTTAATTGGACACTTTAAATTTGCACTCAAAAGTCTTCTCTTACCAACACCAAAATTGTTCATTGTGTGAACCAATGTTAAAATGGGAATCACAGAGAAAGAATAATGTACTTTTAAACAATAATAAACTTCTTCAAATTATAAAATAAAAAAACTCTTTGATAAAAGATTTAGGCTGGGTGCGGTGGCTTACGCCTGTAATCCAGCACTTTGGGAGGCCGAGGCGGGCAGATCATGAGGTCAGGAGATCGAGACCATCCTGGCTAACACGGTGAAACCCCATCTCTACTAAAAATACAAAAAATTAGCCGGGGGCGAGTGCTTGTAGTCCCAGCTACTCAGGAGGCTGAGGCAGGAGAATGGCGTGAACCTGGGAGGTGGAGCTTGCAGTGAGCTGAGATTGCACCACTGCACTCCAGCCTGCGACAGAGCAAGACTCTGTCTTAAAAATAAATAAATAAATAAATGAATAAATAAATAAATAAATAAATAAATAAATAAAAAGATTTAGGAGATATAGAAAACTATAAGGCAGAATGTGACAATTACTTACAATCCTATATCCTGGAGATAACCTTGCCTTCTAATTTGAAACATGTCACCAAAATTTCAACTGTTTATATATACACACATGCTTTTGTCTTTCTACACAAAATAAAATGTGATAAATATGTTATACATAAATTATTTTTACTTAACCATATGTTGCAGATATCTTGTCATTTCAGTAAAGGGGAATATGCATCATTATTTTTATTGGCTGCACAGTAATACACAAATCTAGTAGTATTTAATAGTATTAAAATCTCCTTTTAGTGGTCATTTAAGCAGTTTTCACTATTTTCCTTTTATAAATAATGCTGCAATCTGAATATTCATAAAACATATTATATTTCTCACACACAACAGACACCTCAATAAATATTTGTTGAGTTTTATATTGAAATTAGGGATTTTTTTAACTTTTAGGTTCAGGGGTACATGTGCAGGTTTGTTATGTAGATAAACTTGTGTCATGGGGATTTTTTGTACAAATTATTTCATGACACTGGTACTAAGCCTAGAACCCAATAGTTATTTTTTGTTTTGTTCCTTGTCCTCCTCCCACCCTCCATTCTCCAGTAGGTCCCAGTGTCTGTTGTTCCCCTCTTCGTGTTGATGTGTCCTCATTATTTAGTTCCCACATATAAGTAAGAATATGAGGTATTTGGTTTTCTGTTCCTACATTATTTTGCTATGGATAATGGCCTCCAGCTCCATCTATGTAGGATCTGATCTCATTCTTTTTATGGCTGCATAGTATTCTATGATGTATATGTACCATATTTTCTTTATCCAGTCTACCATGGATGAGCAGTTTGGTTGATTCCATCCTATTTTGCTATTGTGAATAGTGCTGCATTTGTATTTATGATACAACAATTTATATTCCTTTGGTTATATACCCAGTAATGGGATTGCTGGGTCAAGAGGTAGTTCTGTTTTTAGCTCTTTAAGGAATTGCCACACTGCTTTCCACTATGGTTGAACTAATTTATAACCTCACCAACATTGTATAGGCGTTCCTTTTTCTCTGCAACTTCACCAGCATCTGTTATTTTTTGACTTTTTAATAAGAGCCATTCTGACTGGTGTTAGATAATATTTTATTGTGTTTTTTATTTATATTTCTCTGATCAATGATATTGAGCTTTTTTCTTCATATACTTGTTGGCTGCATGTATGTCTTCTTTTGAAATGTGTCTGTTCCACACACACAGACACATACTTGAAGCTGAATGAGGACTCCTGGGACTGTGTTTATAGCAAGCTATTCTCACCTCCAGTCAAACTATTAATATTAGAGAGGAATGGATACAAAGTAAGCTGTCAATATCAGTTTATCTTTACATTTTTGGTGTGGTCATGCTCTGCCCTCTGTTTAAAGAAACATAACAAATTATAAACACACAAAAATTGTGCTTGACAAACAGAGAGAGGAGAGTTAAATAAAACCAAGGATTTGACTCTCATAATCTAATAACCCCAGTGGTTCCTGAGAGACTAAGAAGAAGAAAAAGCTTCCTTGAATGAATTAATGGCATTCACAGAGGCCTGAATCAGACTGGAGATAATTATTCTAAGTAAAGTAACTCAGGAATGGAAAACCAAACATCATATGTTCTCACTTATAAATGGGAGCTAAGCTATGAGGATGCAAAGGCATAAGAATGACACAGTGGGCTTTGGGGACTCAGGGGAAAAGGGTGGGAGGGTGATGAGAGATAAAAGACTACAAATTGTGCTCAGTATACACTGCTTGGGTAATGGGTGCACGAAAATCTCACAAATCACCACTAAAGAACTTACTCCTGGAACCTAACACTACCTGTTCCCCCAATAACCTATGGATATAAAAATTAATAATAATCTTAAAAAGAAAGAAAAGTGTCTGTTCATGTCCTTTGCCCACTTTTTAATGGAGTCATTTGTTTTTTGCGTGTAAATTTGTTTAAGTTCCTTATAGATGCTGGATATTAGACCATTGTCAGATGCATAGTTTGCAAATATTTTCTCCCATTCTGTAGGTTGTCTGCTTACTCTTTTGATAGTTTATTTTGGTGTGCAGAAGCTCTTTAGTTTAATCCCATTTGTCAATTTTTGCTTTTGTTGCAATTGCTTTTGGCATCTTTATCATGAAATTTTTGCCAGTTTCTATGTCCAGAATGGTATTGCCTAGGTTGTCTTCCAGAATTTTCATGGTTTGTAGTTTTACATTAAGTCTTTAATCCATACTGAATTGGTTTTTGTATATGGTGTAAGAAAGGGGTCCAATTTCTATTTTCTGCACATGGCTAGCCAGTTATCCCAGCACCATTTATTGAATAAAGAGTCTTTTCCCCATTGTTTGATTTTGTCAGCTTTGTTGAAAATCAGATAGTTGTAGGTGTGCAGCATTATTTCTGGACTCTATTCTGTTCCATTGATCAGTGTCTGTTATTGCATCAGTATGCTCTTTTGGTTATTGTAGCCCTACAGCACAGTTTGAAAGTCAGGTAATATGATGCCTACACCTTTTTCTTTTTTACTTAGGATTGCCTTGGCTATTCAGGCTCCTTTTTGGTTCCACAAGAATTTTAAAAATAGTTTTTTCTAGTTCTGTGAAGAATGTCACTAGCAGTTTGATAGGATAGCATTGAATCTGCAAATTGGTTGGGCAGTATGGCCATTTTAAAGATATTGATTCTTCCCATCCATGAGTACGGAGTGTTTTTCCATTTGTTTGTATCATCTCTGATTTCTTTGAGCAGTGTTTTGTAATTCTCACTGTAAAGATCTTTTGCCTCCCTTGTTAGCTGTATGCCTAGGTATTATTTACTTTTTGTGGCAATTGTGAATGGAATTCCTTTCCTGATTTGACTCTCAGCTTGGTGGTAGTTGGTATACAGGAATGCTAGGGAATTTTGTTCACTGATTTTGTATCCTGAAACTCTGCTGAGGATGTTAATCAGTTTAAGGAGCTTTTGGGCCAAAACCATAAGGTTTTCTCAATACAGAATTATGTCATCTGCAAACAGGGATAGTTTGACTTCCTCTCTTCCTATTTGGATGCCTTTCTTTCTCTTGCCTGATTGCTCTGGCCAGGACTTCCAATACTACGTTGAATAGGAGTGGCAAGAGAAGACATCTTTGTCTTGTGCTGGTTTTCAAGGGAAATGCCTCCAGCTTTTGCCATTCAGCATGATGGTGGCTGTGGGTTTGTCATAAATGACTCTTATTATTAATATTTTGAGGTATGTTCTGTCTATACCTAGTTTACTGAGAGGTTTTTAACATGAAGAAATATTGAATTTTATTGAAAGCTATTCTGTCTCTTGAAATAATCATGTGACTTTGTGTGTTTACGTGTTGAATCATATTTATTGATTTGCATATGTTGAACCAACCTAGCATCCCACTAATAAAGTTTACTGGATTGTGCTGGATTAGCCTTTTGATGTCCTGCTGGATTTGGTTTGCTGGTATTCTGTTGAAGATTTTTGCATCAGTATTCAAGGATATTGGTCTGAAGTTTTCTTTTTTTTTCTTTTTCTTTTTTTTTTTCTGTGTCTCTGCCTTGTTTTGGAATCAGGAAGATGCTAACCTCATAGAATGAGTTGGGGAGAAGTCTCTCCTCAATTTTTTGGAATAGTTTCAGTAGGAATGGTACCACATCTTCCTTTGTATCTGGTATATATATCGGGTATTCAGCTGCAAATCTGTCTGGTCCTGGGCTTCTTTTCGTTGGTAGGCTGTTTATTACTGATTCAATATTGGAGTTGTTATGGGTCTGTTCAGGGAATCAGTTTATTCCTCGTTCAGTCTTGGGAGGGTGTATGTGTTCAGAAATTTATCCAGTTCTTCTAGATTTTCTAGTTTGTATGCAAAGAGGTGTTCATAGTCGTCTCTGCTGGTTATTTGTATTTCTGTGGTGACAGTGGTATTATCCCCTTTGTTGTTCCTAATTGTGTTTATTTGGATCCTCTCTCTTTTCTTTTTTATTAGTCTAGCTAGTGGTCCATCTAGTTTTTCAAAAAACTAGCTCCTGGATTTGTGGGTCTCTTGAATGTTTTTTTGTGTCTCAGTCTCCTTCAGTTCAGCTCAAAGTACTTCGTAGGGCGGTGGCAGTGGGATCCCTCCTCCTTCCCACCTGTCAGCAGCAGCAGCATAGGCAGTGTGGCAGGGTGCATGCTTTTGGGCTATGGCTGGGTGCTAGCAGGTGCCGGGTGCTGGCTTCCATGTGGGCATTCGCAGCAGTGGCAGTGGCAGAAGGGCTACAGGCATTGTGAGGCCCCACCAGGGACTGTGCATGCCTTCACTCCAGTGGTGATGTTAGCACAGGCGCGGGTCGCTGGTGTGTGCAGGACTGTGTGTGCCCTCTGTGGATGTTCATGCTGGCCGTGATAACTGCTCAGGGCAGGGACAGGTCCACTGTTCTCCATGCATAGTTTCATGACTTGCAGGTGGCAGTGTTGGCACAGAGCCTGTGCACTGGTGAGGAAAGGGCTGGAGGGCTCCCTGTTGCCAAGGACAACAGCAGTGCAGTGGGCAGTGGGGGTTGGGTACACTCAGGCCCACAGCAGTGGCACCATAGGGTGTAGGTGGCTCATGCACAGTGGTGGGAAAGAGAAGGCAAGGTCTGCCCACGCACACACACACCAGCAAAGCAATGTAGGGGGTGGCCATAGGCGAGTGCATGAAGATTAAACCACAGCACAGGGGAGGCTGCAGTGTGGGGAGGGCCCAGGCCAACTGGTGCATGCCTGCGGGCTGCTCTACTGCAGAGCTCAGGCAAGGTCCACCAGCACAAGAGCTTGGGGCCCCAAGGAGGTTCCTGGTCTCTGTACTAGGTGCAGTCAGGCTTGGGCCCTGAGAGAGGCCAGCCGACTGGGGGTGCTCAAGTTGGACTGGCCTCCTCTCATGGGCAAGACTGACTTGCAGAGTTCAGGCCCTACAGTTCCTCTAGGGCTAAAGTCTCCAATGACAGCAAGTCGAGGCTAGGGGGATGGGCATCCCTGGCCATGCTCCACCACTGGGTTCCACACTGGCTGAAGTTGTGCCCATACCACTTATCTAAGCAGCACTCCCTACCAAGTCAAGTTTCCATGGTGGTCAAAGGGTCTCTTCCTGCTGAGATTCCAGAGGCCAGTGAGGACAGCAGCTTGCTCCTTGCTCACTCAACTCACACCATCTGCAGGAGTCCCTGGAAGCCAGGAATGAGTGGTGGTGCACAGTAGCCCTGGGCAGGGTACCCAGCTTCCTCCCCCTTCAGCTTAGCATCTGTCTTCCCTCCTTGCTCTCAGTGCCTTTCCTCTGAAGATCTGCTAGGAGTGGCAAGTCTTCATGATGTCCCAGCCCCTCAATGGGAGATGTTCCCTCTGGTTGCATCTATTTGGCCATCTTGGAGCAGGAGCCAGGATTTCAATATAAGCTGATAATCTATTATCTTAAACTCATTCTATTTTCTTCTTGATGAAACTATCTTAAGAAAGAATCTAATTCGTTTGAAAATGTACCTTAGTGATAATTCCTCATAATGGGCTGACAGCAAAAATAGACTATTGTTTATAGTTAAGTTTGCCTCCTGTCTTGTAAGCAGTGAACATTAACCAACAGTATTCTCAGTAGCCATAGTTACTATTTTGAGTAAAGATCATTTAAATGGTAAAGGACTACTAACACTTAAAAATCTCACATTAATTAGAAGAATAAGATCCATATTTCTCAATCATCCCAAGATTAAGAAGAATAATTGATATGGTTTGAATGTGTCCCCTAAAGTTTATGTACTGGAAACTTGATCCTGAATGTGGTATATTAGAAGGTGAGGTCTAACAGGAGGTGTTTTGAGTCACGAAGGCACCACCCTCATGAATGAATTAATACCAGTAATCATGGGATGTCTTTGTTATCATGGGAGTGGGTTTCTTATAAAAGGACAGTTGGGCCCCCTGTTACTCCCTCTCACTCATGTGATGCCTTCTGCCATGTATAACACAAGAAGAATGCCCTGACCAGATACCAGTGCCTTGGTTTTGAAATTCCCAGTCTCCAGAATTGAGAGGAAATAAATGGATTTCTGTTCTTTAGAAATTACCCAATCTCATATTCTGTAATAGCAGCACAAAACTAAGACAATAATACTACTCTCTCTCTCTCTCTGTGTGTGTATGCACATGCATGTGTACGTGTACAGATGTTAACATACTCTGCTGGTGGAAATCTGAATTAGAATAACTTCATTGAAGGCAAAGTTGGCAATTTTATTGGACTTTTCTATGTCACCAGAAATTCCTCTCAACCCCACCTGTCACTTTTGATACCACTGCTAGTTTTGTTCAGGTACAGTTAACAACCTTTTACATCTGGCTTTACTGCATCTTTCTTGCTTTGAGATATGAGCTTCTGTGATGACCAGGTGAGGGTTTTCAAAGGCATCCTTCTCTGCGAAGTCTGCAAGTGAGAGGGAGTTAAAATCTGAAGGGCCACCCTTAACTAATGGGGAAAGAAGCAAATTTATGCCATGGGAGAAAGCACTGAGAATCATTTCCTACATTTTATCATACGGTTGCTAGCAGATCTAGCACCAGAGATTGAAGTGGTGCCTCTGAATAATATATTCTTATTTCCTTTTGATACAGTTTTCCTTTTGATATACATTTCCTTTTGATATAGTTTGGATGCCCCTTCCAAATCTTGTACTGAGATGTATTCCCCAGTGTTGGAGGTGGGACCTGGTGGGAGGTGTTTTGATCATGTGAGTGGGTCTATCATGGCCTAGTGATGTCCTCCGTGGTGGTGAGTTCTTTTGAGATCTGGCTGTATAAAGTGCGTGGCACTTCCCCACTCTCTCTCTCTCGCTCCTGCTCTCACAGTATGAGACATCTGCTCTTCCTTTGCCTTCCACCATGATTGGAAGCATTCTGAGGCCCCACAAGAAGCCAAGCAGATGCCAGCGCCATACTCCCTGACAGTTTGCAGAACTGTGAATTAATTAAACCTCCTTTCTTTATAAATTACTCAGTCTCAGGTATTTCTTTGTAGCAACGCAAGAATGAATTAACACACTTTTCCTCTTTGTTTTACTATCCTGTCCTGCATTCCTGCTTCCTCGGATTATATTTCCAAATTAATCATGTGCACCCAAGCCTTCGTCTCATGCCTGACAATTAGGAGAATGAAGGCTAAGAAACAGTAACATATAAAAATGTAAGGGTGCACAACTTTTGTTCTTGTAATTCCACTTTTTAGAACTTCTCCAAAAATGAAGGAGAAAGAATGAGGAGACAGAAAAAAATCTATGTTTAACTATGAAACATCTCTTTATATCTCTAGTTTCTTAATTGCTGTAGCCTCAACTTTTGCATAAAGATTGTCTTTTAGGTCAATGTAGCTCTTTCCTTTAGAAAGTCTTCAGTTTGTTAATACCATTGGGAAAACTATGACCAAGTTTTGACATTGTTATTAAACAGATGTCTAAATACAATGAAGATATTGCTGAATGCCTATGTCTGCAATGCTTATAATAACAACCATAACTTTAAGTACACTTTTATTGTCTTCCTTTGTTTATGAATGTGTTTTGATTTAACTAGAAAAGTAACAGAAAAAAACTTTTACAATTTATAATTAATTTGAGGTTCAGTGGAAGATTTACAGATCCTGTGAACAGAATATAAGTATGTGTGGTTATTTGTTTTTATGTGTGGTAATTTTATTTTTTTTTATAAATTCTCATAAACTAAAATAGATTAGATAACAAATATTTTCACAAACCAATGTTTATTCACATCAATCTTTATCTTCAGCAAATTAAAATAAAGTATTACTGGGAATGATTTTATTTTACACAAGAAATGAAAGTAAAGATGTTGATAATTATTATTTAGCGTATGACAGCAACAGTTCCAAGAATCCTTTTAAAGCTTAAAAAGTCTGAAATAACAGTGTTACATTAGTAAAGTGTTTCTGCAGACACTTGCAATATAAAGAAACATAATGGAGAGGTCTAGAAATAGAAACGTTAAAGAAAGTTTACTTAGAATAATCAATTTTACAAGTTTTCTTCAAGTCAGCTGTCCAGGGAGTTGACCAATTACTTTTTTTTTTGTTTGTTTGAGACAGAGTCTCTCTGTGGCCCAGGCTGGAGTGCAGTGGTGAGATCTTGGCTCACTGTAAGCTCCGCCTCCGGGGTTCACACCATTCTCCTGCCTCAGCCTCCCAAGTAGCTGGGACTACAGGTGCCCACCACCACGCCTGGCTAATTTTTTGTATTTTTAGTAGAGACGGGGTTTTACCAGACCAATTACTTTTAAAATGTTGTAGATAATAAAATGTGTCTAAGTTTCTGTGAAATTCATATTTTAGTGACTTTGTTGCCTTTATTCTTTGTCCCTATTTATTTTCTTAATTATAAATGAGGTTAAAATTTTTTAATATAGTTGTTAAATATTGTTACTTTGTTTTGTCAACTTTCTTGTATGTCCCTTGCATATGTTTTCAAAGGGTCTTTTCTTTTTATTTTCAAGAGTTCATTTTATACTAAGAAAATTACCAAATGTCAAAATAGAATTTTTTAACACTTGGTTAGTTCATTAACAAGCTAACTATATATTTGAGACATGTTTATCTATTTGTATATAAGTCATCTTTTTAACTTTTCAAAGCTGTATGTTGACACTTCTTTTCTGTCAAGTGAATGGCAACATTTTTTTCTAATTTTTCAGTTGTCTTTTGACTTATGTAAAACCTTATAAGATTTCATTGGCTTATATAATTAAAAATATTTTGTATAATTTGTTCATTGTTATCTTTGTGAATCTGAGATTTGGGGACATACTTAGAAATTACATCTCTTCCTGCAAAACTATTTAAAAAATTGAACACTAGCCTTTTCCAGTATGTTATGGTCTCTCATTTTGAATATTTACATCTTTCCTCTTTCAGAAATTATTCACAGATATGAAAGTAAGTAATCTGCTTATATTTTATCTAATATCTATCAATCTTTACATTTATTTTACACTTGTTAAATAACTCACCTTTACATCTCTGGAATAAAATGGCAATTTTTAAATATTCTACATGTCCATGTGTCTTTAGACATGTTTCTGTTCCATTTTTCTGTCTATCTAATCAAAAACAAGCGTCATCCTACTTTAGTGGCTAAAGCCCTACTTCTAGCGTTATTCTCTGGCACAGCTAACTCTATCCTGCTCCGCACTCAGCTTTGCAGGTCTCCTGACTATTCTTCCATGTATATCATTCCAGTTGGCCATTATATTAATATATAATCATATAAATTTAAAAATGTCTTGTTTTTATTGGGATGGCATATTTTACAAATTAATTTAGAAATAATTCACATCTTTACAACAGGAAAAATTATTATCCAAATATTAGGAGTGTCTTCCAATGTATTCAAGTATGTCTTGTCCCTTCCCGTTATTTGGAGCAAGACAAAATTATTATAATAGTCTTTCAAGAATTCTTATTTTTAATTTATTTATTCTTTATGCCATTTTTGTTGCTCCTGTTTTCTACTTTATTAGAAGCTTGTACTTTTGATAAAGTATGCATTGAATAAAACTTCTTAAATATTATGAAGCAAAAATCTAGCAAAGCTCATTCAAAGTGGTTAAGTGCTCAAGTCATTACAAATAGAATGAACTAAGGATGCTTGCCATCACCATTTTTATTCAATACCTTTTGGATGTCTTAGCAAATTTTTAGAATCAGGTAAAAACATTACTTTTATACATTATGGCCAAGAATAGATAAAACTAATTTTCTTTAATGACAACATGTGAAGTCACTGCTAATTGTCTACCAATGGATAGTCTCACCATTCTTATTTGCTGAAAAATCACACGTCTATTTAATACCCTCCTATTTTCCTGTTACTCATGGTGATGTACTGTCAGTATAAGCCAATCATGGGAATTCCATCTGCCTTCTAGGTTACTGGTTTTGGTGTAGGTATGTGACATAATTATAGTCAATGCGACAGTAGGAGAAATTTGCTGAGAATATTTGAGGAAAATATTTTTCTCAATTTCAAAAGAAATACTAAGGAGAAAATTATCTCCCTGTGTGTGGCCTGTGTATATTAATGTGATAGTAATATAATGGGTGACACATTAAACTGCAGTCATCGCATGACAATGAGTAGAGCTAGCTGGAAGGAAGCTACACACTGACAGGCAGAGATGAAAGGTCGCAGGACCCAGGTCCTTGTGCTGCTGAACTAAACAACCTTAGATATCTGTCTGTAAGATCTTTTTGGGTGACAAAACTAATTTTCCTCATGGTCTAAACCTATTGAACTGGGATTTTGTTTCTATTACTTGCAGCTAAGAATATATTGATATTTATTTACACTTAGAAAATTCCAATTACTACTATTGACATCAATACTGCAGAAATCAAAACTACTAAACAGAATAAGAAAATGTTGGAAGATGTCCATAGGGGACACTTGTGGAAAACATGCTTTTCTCCTCAGGCACAATATCCAGATCTCTATTGTCCTCAGTGGTCCCAGGCATCCAAAGTATGCTGGTTCCTTGTCAGCACTTAGAGGCTGGTTTCAGTCCTTTCAGTATTTCCTTTTATAATTCTGGCTAACATACTTAGCTATTATCTATATATTTAGATATAAGTTATAGTTCCTTTTAATTCTTGAATTGAAATAAAATAAATTGATTACATTATGCTTGCTTTTTTTCTAGTCTTCTCACACTCTCATTTTCAAATTATTATTTTTACATTTTAATGTTAACAATACAATAGTCTTTTCCATAACCAGAATTCCTACAAGTTTGACCTTTATTCTGTAGTTAAAAATCATCAAGGCATTTTCACCTCTTTTCACCTCTCCGTTATATCATGGCTTCTCCATTCCAGTTATTTATTTTGATGCAACTTCTGATTAAATAGATTATGGCATCGAGTAGTTTTAATTTTCAATAATGATTCAAGTAAACTAAATTTCTCAACTTCTTTTGTGTTTCATGTTTGTCATTCTTATATTTAAACAGCTTTTCTAGTTACACAATTAGATTATCAGTTATTTGCTGCATGTGCCACTATCTTCTAGCACTGAAGAAGTAAGGCTGTGGCCAGCCTGATTTTGTCTTTATCATGAGTTGCCAAGTTATCGTGAGGTTTTTTTTTTTCTGTAGAAATCCAGAATTTTCTATTTATTTGAAATAACAGTAACTTTACCAAGTTATTTCCAGAGATTAGTTTCTCTTTATCAGTTTTGCCTGGGACACAATGTGTTTTATTCAATAAATGTTTCTTTTATAAGATAGTTGACAATTCTGTTGAGTTTTTTTCTGTTTATTTTTTAGGAAAAATAAGAAAGCATAAATTGAATCTTTTATCTACCTTTATACTTATATACAGCTTGAATATTTCTAAATCTGAAAACCCAAAATCAGAAATGCTCCAAAATTCACAACTTTTTGAGTGTCAGCATAATGCTACAAGTCACAAATTTCACACCTGATTACATGTGATAGGTCATGTCAGAGGCAGGCATAAAACACAGTTTATTCAACATCCCCAAGGGACCAAAGACCCTCCCAGTCCTGTTCAATTGCAGTATATCTTTTCTGCACATGCCTAGATTCCCCCATGCAAGCACACCCACAAAAGGTGTGGGTGCAGACTGGACACACCAATGGCAAGTTTCCCATAATTCTCCACATGAGGTCAAGACCTGTGTGCTTTCCTCACTGTGTTTCTTTGCTTATTCTCTACTTGGTGATATAAAGCTATTGTTGAAAATACAGGGGCAAAAAAGCCTGCAGATACCTCTGTAGATAACAGTGATAAGAGAAGGAGGAAGCATTTATGTTTATAGCACGGAAAGTCAAACTGCTGAAGAAACAACAGTGGTATAAGTATAAAACATCTTTCAGAAGAGTATGGTGTTGAAATGACCATCATACATGATTTGAAGCAACAGAGGATAAACTGTTGAAGGTCTCTTCTGTGCTGAAAGTGTTAAACAGAAGTTAATTAAAAATAGAAAACACTACAGAAAGCTAAAAATGAAGATCCTGGTTATGTATTAAAAGAATGCCTCCATCACAGTTTCAGTGCACACATGCCACTTCATGGTATGCTGATTATGAAACAAGCAAAGAACCATTACTATGAACTGAAGAGAACTGTGAATATTCAACAGGATGGCAGCAGACATTTTTTTAAAAAGACTTGGCAGTACATGTTAAAAGATTTGTGGTGGTAAACCATTTGCTGATTGTGAAGCAGTGGGAGAATCCATTAACAAGTTTGCCAAGGTCACTGCTGATGAAAATCTGACACTAGAATAAGCCTGTGATATTGACGAAACATCACTGCTTTGGTGTTACTATCCCAGAAAGACACTGACTACCACTGATGAGACCGCCCCTACAGGAATTAAAAATGCTCAAGAGAGAATAACTGTGCTGGGATGTGCTAATGCAGCAGGCCTGACTATGTGTAAACTTGCTGAGATAGGCGAAAGAGTCCTCTCTCTTTTCAAGGAGTTAACTTCTTACCAGTCCATTGTGATGCTAACAAAAAGGCATGGATCACCAGGGTCATCTTTTCTGATTAATTTCACAAATATTTTTTACCAGTATCTCATGCTCACTGTAGGGGAACTGGACTGAATGATGATTGCAAGCCTGTTATTTCTTGATAACTGTATGTGTCTGCAAGTCCCCCAGCTGAAATACTCATCAAAAATAATTTTTATGCCATGTGCTTTCCCCCAAATATGACTTCATTAATTCAGCCACTTGATCAGGGTATTCTTAAATCAATAAAGAGTGAATATAAAATTACTTTTTGGATGGCATGGTAGCAGCAGAGAATGAGTTTTCAAAAGGCATTTAGCATGAAGAATGTTATACATGCTGCTGCCAGTGCTTGGAACACAGTGACTAAAGACACAATTGTGCATGCCTGGTACGACCTCTGCCTGTGACTAAGTTCAGTGATCATGATGAACAACGTGGTGATTTTGAAGAATTCCACATGTCAAGTGAGAAAAAAATGATGTCTGACCTTCTTATATATGCAAAATATATACGTTTAGAGTCTTTCAGTAAGCTGAAAGAAGTAAATATTGAAGGTGTTTTTTAACACCCCTAATGAGGCTCCAGTTTATTTCTTGACTAAGGTGAAATAGCCAAAGTGGTTCTGAGTCAAAGTGATCATGATAATAGTGACAATGAAAATGATGTAAACAGTACAAAAAAAAAGTGCCTATAGACCACAGGATGAAATGTGTGATGGGTTAATGGAAGCACTAGAGCAGTGTGTATATACAGTGGAACAAGAAATCATGTCAGTTCATAAAATCAGAGAGACTTTGAACACAAAAACCATTGTTAATGAGGCTCATAACTATGAAGGAAACATTTTTAAAAGCCATCTATCAGAAGATCTCCTTATTCTTAGAGGACCATATCTTGTTCTTCAATGGTTTCTGATGTTTCTTTTCATCTAAAAAAATAAAATTCAATGTACAGTAACCTTTTAATCAAAACATAGCATCACAGGTGGAGACTGAAAGCCTGCCATTGTCAGTGGTTGCTTTGTTTTGTTTGTTTGTTTATTTGTTTGTTTTGGGGACAGAGTCTTGCTCTGTCACCCAGCCTGGAGTACAATGGCACCATCTTGGCTCATAGCAACCTCTGTTTCCAAGGTTCAAGTGATTCTCCTGCCTCAGCTTAACAAGTAGCCAGGACTACAAGTGCGCACCAACACACCCAGCTCATTTTTGTATTTCTAGTAGAGATGGGGTTTCTCCATGTTGGCCAGGCTGGTCTCGAACTCCTGACCTCAAGTGATCCACCCACCTCGGCCTCCTAAAGTGCTGGGATTACAGGCGTGAGCCACTGTGCCCAGCCGGTGGTTGCTTTAACAGCTGATACAGGTTTTCTGGTGATGTTACTGTGCTGCTTAGTTACTGTGAACACATTTTTTTTTCACTGTATAAATTGTATGTCTTTTTTTACTATTAAGTATTTATGTGTAAATAAGTGTAAGAAAATGATTGCTTATCAGTAGCAGATAAATTCAGAGTCAGAAATGATGGTGATGCCAAACAAGCACAGATTGATTAAGTGGGTGGCTGATAAAACAACAATTTTGCTTTCTGATGGTTCAGTGTACACAAATGTTTCCTGTAAAAAATTATTTAAAATATTGTATAAAATTACCTCCAGGCTATGTTTATAAAATGTGTATGAAATGTAAATGAATTTTATGTTTAGACATGTGTCACATCCCTGACACATATCATTATGTATACGAAACATTTCAAAATCCAAAAAAATCTAATATCTGAAATACTTCTGGTCCCAAGCATTTCAGATAAAGAATTATCCCTCTCTCTCTCCATATATATATATATATATATATATATATATATATATATATGTTTTATATATATACAATTTATATATAAATATAAATATATTTATATATTCATATATTTATATAAATATATTTATATATTCATATATTTATATAAATATATTTATATATTTATATATTCATATATTTATATATTCATATATTTATATATTCATATATTTATATATTTATATAAATATATAATTTATTTATATATTTATGTTTATATATGTGTGTATTATATACACACATATATACACATATATTATATATACACATTATATATTATATATTTATATGTATATTCCTATACATATAAAATTTGTGTATATAAATTCATCTGATCTGTAATCACTTAATTTTGATGTGACTTTTCACAAATTCATTCATCCCCAGCAGCTTTTATTCTATCTTTTCTGCCTTTAAGATAGCTCTTATTTTTGTAATGCCTTTATTTTAACTTCTATTATTTTTCCACATCTGGCAACTTGTATTTTTACCTCTTTATTATCTATTCTTTTATCTAATCCTTTCATGTTTTCTTTGACTAGTGTATCTTTTATTAGGGATTTTTATTTTAAAAAGTATGTTCTTGATAATTTTTTCTGATATTTTGTGCATTGCCTTTAGCTGGTTTTCTCCTCTTCATTTTTGTTTTGTACTACCTTATAGAGACCCTTTGCTGATTCCTTAACTCCTTCTTTACGTAGAGTGGTTTAATCAGGGTTATCAATGTATTTAATAATATTTTAGGGCAGGACTAGCAGAGGTAACTAGCAACATTTATTTGAATGTATCTGCCGCAAATTCCCTTATACTAATACGTTTTGTTTTACATCCTTGGAATATGGCATTCATTGTAGATAGGGGAATTCTAGAGATGTGCTACTATCTTTGATTTGAATGCCGACTATACTTGTCAGCTAAGTTATCGTGGGTGTCATTTAATTTCTCTGTGCCTCAGTTTCTTTGTCCCTATAAAGGCAATAATAATGATATACCTACTTTATAGGGTTGTAGAGAGGCTTTAATAGGTTAGTAAATGTACAGTGCTTAAAATAAACATCTACTAAATAAGTAGTGCTTAAACATCTACTAAATAAGAGATATTAATATTATATTTTCTCTGTTTTCAATGTTACTCCTCCTGTATTTCTGCTATACAGCAGAAAGCCCGTATACCTCTAGATGAAGCTCTCTGTGTCTCAATTTTTCCATTTTTTAAAAAAATCTCTGTTAGCTGATTCTATTTAGAAAATGCACATCTGTTTGACTCTTCCTTACTGCAAACTAAGTTATCTCCAATTGTTTCTCTAAATTAGAAAGTAAGGTTACAGAAAACAAACAAACAAACAATGGAAGTTAATTCTTTCTTTAGCTTTACCAACACTACCATTTTGAGTCCTAAGGATGGTCTGTGCTACTTATCTAGACATCATTGTCATAGGCATTCTCATTACCTTGACATTTTCAGGCCATATAACTTAATTTTAGAAAAAAAAATCCTGAATATGTCTTGAGATATTTATCAGTTCCATATTTTACTTTAATTAATCTACATACATCATTATACTTAGAAGATATTTCCCAAGTTTGTACACTGTGGATGTGGCTATTTTCTAGTGTCACTGTATTTTTTAATTTCTTTGTACTGTTTCCAGTGAATTTCAAAAACAAAGATAGAGAAAACAATTTTTGCAACAACCTCTTGAAATAAAAATCCCGTAAATTGTATTTTGTGTGGGGTCTCATAATTTAAATAATAGAATCCTGTGGGTTCACAGTTAATAGTCATTTTTAAAAATTTTCCAAGTAGCATATATTCCATTTTTTTATATATAGAAGCAGGGTCAAGTTCCCCTCCTGGAATAGAGGGAAAATACGCATCTTTAAACTACATTTTTAACATTTATGTTTTCAAATAACATATTACATGACTATAGAGGATAAATTTGGAGGAGAAAGTAAAACTGTGAGTGTGTGTGCATGCATGTTTTTCCCAACAACTTGCATAGCTTCCAGAGAATGAGAACAAACATGTCCACAGCTCTGGAAAAACTGAGGGAAATAGCACACCAGGGGAAAGAGCAGAGCACAATGTCTGCAAGATAATCAAGCTATTTTGGATTGCAGGTAGTGGAAATTTCAAAAATCTCCTTGATTTTTTTTTAACTTGCTTCCTATTCAGGCAAAAGCTAAACTTCAAGCTAATTTATTATATTATAACTATTTTAGCCTAGTTCATTTTGATATTAACATCTCTCTTTACCATATGACTATTGATTTTTAAAATTCATGCTTTAATGATTCCATTGCATCATTTTTAATTCTTAATTTATGTTTCTAATTTTAGCATATTTCAAATCTATTTCAAACTAGATAGTAAATAAATAATAAAGGAGTATGTTAATTAATAAAAAAGAAGAAAATATAAATATGGGGTACATGGGAGACATTGCTGAGGAGTTTTCTTTCTTGCCTTTTCCATATTGAATAATGCCCTATTTGATAATTAAAATTTGACCACAGCCTGATATTACTGTGATTCTCCACTGCCTCAAAAAAGAAAATATTCTATCTTTCTCAGAGAGACTTACTCTTCATAATGTTTAAAGGCAGCAGCAGACATAGTATCCATAATGTAAAAAATGTAATTTTTATATTTAATCGTATGTTTTTCTTTCATTAATGTACGGAGTTGTTGAGCCATGCATATTTATCTGAATGATAGGTTAGATGTATATATGTCCTATCACTATCATGGAGTATAATTAATTTTATCAGTCAAATAAGCCAAATTATGACTCATCAGTTGATATAGTTTATCTCCTAAAACCATTTTGTTTCTATGAAAGTTATTAGAGTTCTGCTGCTATATTTGCTCAATTTTCCACTTAATCTGTCAGACATAAGGTTTTTAATCTTTGTGGAATTTGTCTATTGCTCACAGTATGATGCCTATTGCTATGACTCTTTTTATCTCTGTTTGAATTAGTCCAGCTACCTTCTACTCTTCTTTTCTCCTCTATACTGTATTATTAAAAGATTTTTTTCTGTAATTTAGTTTTATTTTTATTGGTATTGCAAATGTCATATACCAGTAAGTATTTTAGTAAAAGGATATTTTTACAGACAAATGCACACCCATTTTTTTCTGTTTTTGAGACGGAGTCTCACTCTGTTGCCCAGGATGGAGTGCGGTGGCGAAATCTCGGCTCCATGCAACCTCCACCTCCCAGGTTCAAGCGATTTTTCTGCCTCAGCCTCCCAAGTAGCTGGGATTACAGGTGCCCATCACCACATCTGGCTAATTTTTTTGTGTGTATTTTTAGTAGAGATGGGGTTTTACCATGTTGGCCAGGCTGGACTTGAACTCCTGACCTCAGGTGATCCACCCATCTCAGCCTCCCAAAGTGCGGGGATTACAGGCATGAGCCACTGTGCCCAGCCTGCACACCCTTTTTATTGTTGAAATAGACCCACATTAACTCATCCTTTATGAAACTGAGACGATGAAACAGAACAAGATAAGAAGGAGGAAGAGGAGGAAAGGAAGAAGAGGGGCAGAACAACAACAACAAAGAGAAGAACAGAGAAAAAAAGGTGACAGCAATTACAGGTTATTTTGCAGTCAATGTGCTTTAATATGAACCAAAACCAATAAAAAGTCGTGATGAGGTATTACTCCTCTCCTTCCCAATTTAAAAATGAAAACGAATTATTTTATACAAGTATATGTAAAAGTCTAAACATGGAAAAGCAAATCTATTGTTAATATATTTCACATACAGTATAGGTAAATGTCAATATGTATTTTAGAAATGGTATGAAATTTGAACTAAATTAATATTTATTCAAATACCACATGACCATAATTTTATGTTTAGTATTCTAAAAATATTTCTGATGTTAAAGAACTTGATTAAGAATATGACTCTGGGCCGGGCGCGGTGGCTCACGCCTGTAATCCCAGCACTTTGGGAGGCCGAGACGGGCGGATCACGATGTCAGGAGATCGAGACCATCCCGGCTAAAACGGTGAAACCCCGTCTCTACTAAAAATACAAAAAATTAGCCGGGCGTAGTGGCGGGCGCCTGTGGTCCCAGCTGCTTGGGAGGCTGAGGCAGGAGAATGGCGTGAACCCGGGAGGCGAAGCTTGCAGTGAGCCGAGATCCCGCCACTGCACTCCAGCCTGGGCGACAGAGCGAGACTCCGTCTCAAAAAAAAAAAAAAAAAAGAATATGACTCTGATAGGTTATTTCTTTAATTTTCAAAATTATATAATTTTAATTAATTACTGATTAAATAATCAGTTAACTTTTCTGCACCAGTAAGGAATGCCAAGTCTTCATTCCTAAGTGGCATCATTTTGTAAGAAAATTCTGGGAGATAATTAGAGGAGAAACTAATGAAACAAAAAAGGTAAGGATTAGGAAATAAATAGGTGTTTGCTAGCATTGAATCAAGCTTTCTGTCCTGTAATTTTAAATAGAAATAAAGAACAATAGAACTCTCAATAGACCACATATGACTTGGAAGGACACTGAGATAACTGTAAAACGATGTGAAGTACCAAACTAATCAAGGTTATTTGCTGAAAGATAATTAGGAAAGTACAAAAGGGTCGACCTAAAAATTATTAAATTTTTCAAATGAATAGGAATACAACTCATCTTTCTCCCCTGTCATCAACTTTCTTTGTCCATGGAACTCATTGCACTTACATACCTCTTTTTGTAAAATCATATATTGCTTTGTAATAGCTCATAAGTTATCTTATTTAATATTTGATATATATATGAAACATTATCACACCTATTTTGTAAACTTCTCTTCAGCAGGGCTCCTTGTGGTATCTGAAACATGCTTAGTATAATGATGTACACCTCCTACTGTAACAACCTCTGTACCTGCAATCCACTCAGACATTTATTAATGAACATGCCGGATTGATCAGGCCTTCATATTTGTTGTTCCACTCTGATTGCTAATTAATCAAGAGCTAGCTTATAACACCTCCCTCCCCACTTTTTCTTTCCTATTCTCTTTATGCTCAACCTTAATTTTTTTTTTTTGCAGGACAATCATTTATTCATGTGACTGGCTTATAAAAATCTGCCATTTTTATCTGGCTTTCATATTGACCCTCAAATTTTCAATATTGTAATATTAATTGCAATGATACATATGAACACATGGAAAGCTATTGCCTAATTTTTCTTCTACAACTGCAAAGATCCTCATTGCATGCCTTTTCTCTGGGACCTAAGTACACTTTAAATGTTTAGAAAGTATTTTTAAATATTTTCTCCTTTGTTGTTTCAGAGATGTAAATTGCCTTTTTCTACATTTTGATTTATAGGTACTGTATATGTTTAAATTTTTAGAATTTTGTTGCCCTTTTTCTTGATATATTATTATTCCTAAACTTACAAAACACAGCATATACATATTAAACAGCTAACCAGATTTCTCATTAGCAAGAAGCTCTGGGAAATAAGAAGGGAAAAGAGTATAAGAAATGTGGCAGGAATTTAAAAAAAAAAAAAAAAAAAAAAACCTCATCAAAAGATGTTTTTGTTTGGGCCTATGTAGAGCCTACTTAAAAGTTGTTAGATTATTCCCATCCAGAAGACTGTGGTGAAAATTTAATTTTTGAATTTATGAAAACTAATATATGTGCATGTTTACTTCCATCTATATATTATATTATATGAAGTATACATAAGTATACATAAAAAGTATACAGGGTGATAGAGGAGTTGGAGTGAGATGGAGAAATAGAAGGCTCTGCCAATCATCCCCTCTGCAAGGACACCGATTTAACAACTATCTACACATAAAAGCACCTTTGTAAGAACCAAAAAACAGGTGAGCACTCATAGTACCTGGCTGTAATTTTGTATTACTGAAAAAGGCACTGAACAGATAGTAAAATACAGTCTTGAATTCCCAACACCACCCCTCCTCTATGCCCTGGCAATGGCAGCATAGTGAGGAGGGCATTTCTGTGTGCAAACAGGGGCAGATAGTGCAGCAACTTTGAGGCATTAAACTCACTGGCTGTCCGGTTATAGCAGAAAGGAAAACTGGACCAAATTCAGCTGATGCTCACCCACAGAGGGAGCATTTAAACAGCCCTCACCAGAGAGGTATTGCCAATCCCAGTGGTAAAAACTTGACTTCCACAAGCCTTGCTACTGTGTGTTATAGTGTTCTGGGGCTCTAAATAAACTTGAAAGGCAGTCTAGGCCACAAACACTGCAACACCTAGAAGAGTCCTAGTGCTAAACTGGGCCTAGAGACAGTGGACTCAGGGGGCACATGACTTACTAAGACACCAACTGTGGTCTGTGGTAGCTAAAGGAGTGCTGGCATCAATCTTCCCCTACCCCAGGCAGCACAGCTTGCAGCCCCAAAAGAGACTCCTTCCTTACGCTTAAGGAGAAGAGAAGAAAAAGTAGGAAGGATATTGTCTTGCATTTTGGATACTAGCTCAGCCACAGCAGAATAAGGCACCAGTCAGAGTTGTGAGGCCCTTTTTCCAGGCTCTAGCTCCCAGATGGCATTTCTAGACATACCCTGAGCCAGAAGGGAACCTACTGCCTTGGAGGGAAGGACTTGATTCTGGCAGCATTTATTACCTGCTAACTGAAGAGCTCTTGGGCCCTGAATAACCAGTAGCAATACCCAGGTGTGGTGGCTGTGGGCAAGACTCCTGCTTCAGCAAAGCAGAGGGAAAAGTAAAGGGGGCTTTGTCTTGCATGTTAGTTACCAGCTCAGCCACAGGGTGGTAGAGCACTAACCGAGCCCTTTGGATCCATGATTCCAGGACTTGACTCTTGGATGTCATTTCTAGACCTGCTCTTGACCAAAGGAAAGACCACTGCCCTGAAGGGTGAGTACCAAGCCAGGCAGCATTTACCAAAAGCTGACTGAAGAGCCTTGGGACTTGAAGGAACACCAATAGTAGTCTGGCAGTCCTTCCTGTGGGACTATGGTGGTGGTGGTAGCCATGGGGTAAGGCTCCTCTACCTTTGGAAATCATTGGGGAGAGTGAGAAGGACCGCATCTTATGGTTTAAGTGCCGGTTCATCCACAGCACAGTAGACCACAAGGTAGACTTCTAGTTTACTCTAGTCCCTGGCTCCTGGACAGTACCTCTGGACCTGCCTGGGACCTAGGGGAGTTTGTTGCTCCGAAGCAAAGGACAAAGGCTTGGCTGGCTTTGCCACCTGCTGATTATAGAGGCCCAGGGCCTTAAGCAAACATAGGCAGGAGCCAAGGATGACAGCAGGCCTTGGGTGAGACCCAGTGCTGTGCTGGCTTTAGGTCTGACCCAGCACAGTCATAGTAGTGGTGGCCACAGAGGTGCTTGTTTCACTTCAATCCCAGCTTCAGGTGGCTCAGAACAAAGAGACTTCATTTGTTTGGGAGAAAGTAAAAGAAGAGAACAAGAGTCTCTGCCTGGTAATCCAGAGAATTCTCCTGGATCTTGTCCAAGACCATCAATGTTGTACCTCTATGAGTCTGCAAAAAGCACAGCATTAATGGGCTCGAGGTGCCCCCTAAAGTAGATATAGCTTGGATCACAACACCAAGAGCTTTCAAATATCTGTAAAGCCTTCCAAGAAGGACAGGTACAAAGAACCCCAGAATGTTAAGAAATGCCCAGACACAAACATCTGCAAGTATCAAGGCAATCCAGGAAAATATGACATCACCAAATGAACTAAATAAGGTACCAGGAACAAGTCCTCAAGAAGCAGAGATATGTGACTTTTCAGACAGAATTCAAAATAGCTTTTGAGGAAACCCAACGAAATTCAAGATAACACAGAGAAGAGATTCAGAATTCTATCAGATAAATTTAACAAAGATATTGAAATAATTGAAAAGAATTAAGAAGAAATTCTAGAGCTGAAAAATGCAATTGGTACACTGAAGAATGCATGCAGTCCTAAATAGTAGAATGGGTCCAGCAGAAGAAAGCATTAGTGAACTTAAAGACAGGGTATTTGAAAATACACACTCAGAGGAGACAAAAGAAAAAAGAATAAAAAACAATGAAGCATGCCTACAGGATCTAGAAAATAGCCCAAAAGGGTAAGTCTAAGAATTATTAGCCTTAAAGAGGAGATAGACAGGAGTAGAAGGTTTATTCAAAGGGATAATAACAGAGAATGTCCCAAACCTAAAGAAAGTTATCAATATCCAAGTACAAGAAAGTTAGAGAACACCAAGCAGATTTAACCCAAAGAAGACTATATTTAATAGTCAAACTACTAAGGATCAAAGATAAAGAAAGGATCCTAAAAGCAGCAAGAGAAAAGAAATAAATACAAGGAACTTTAATACATCTGACAGCAGACTTTTCAGTGGAAACCTTATGAGCCAGGAGAGAGTGGCATGACATATTCAAAGTGTGAAGAAAAAATATTCAGCAAAAATATTCTTCAACCATGAAGGGAAAATGAAGACTTTCCCAGACAAACAAAAGCTGAGGGATTTCACCAACACCAGACTGGTCCGGCAAGAAATGCTAATACGTCAATCAGAAAGAAAAGGACATTAGTGAGCAAAAAGTAATCACCGGAAGGTACAAAACTCACTGGTAATAGCCAATACAGAGAAAAACACAGAATATTATAATACCGTAACTGTGGTATGTAAACTGCTCTTATCCTAAGTAGAAAGACTAAAGGATGAACCAATCAAAAATAATAACTACAAAATTTTTTAAGACTTACTGAGTACAATAAGATATAAAACAAAACAATAAGTTAAAAAGCAGGGGTACTAAGATAAGATATAGAGTTTTTAATGATTTTATTTTCACTTATTTGTTTATGCAAACAGTGTTAAGTTGTTATCAGCTTAAAATAATGAGTTGTAAGATAGTATCTGCAAGCCTCATAGTCACCTCAAACCAAAAAACATACAACAAATAAACAAAAAATAAAAAGCAAGAAACTAAATCATATCACCAGAGAAAATTACCTTCACTAAAAGGAACACAGGAAGGAAATATAAAAGGAAGAGAAGACCACAAAACAACCAGAAAACAAGTAACAAAATTCAGGAGGAGTGCATCCTTACTTATCAATAATAATATTGAATGTAAATAGACTAAACTAATCAAAAGATACAGAGTAGCTAAATGGATAAAAAATCAAGACCCATTCATCTGTTGCCTACAAGAACACCTTTGAAGACACACATAGACTGAAAATAAAGGGATGGAAAAAGATATTCCATGCCAATGGCAACCAAAAAATAGCAGGAGTAGCTATAGTTACACCAGATAAAATAGATTTCAAGACAAAAATTATAAGAAGAGACAAAGAAGGTCACTATATAATAAAAAAGGGGTTAACTTAGCAAGAGGATATCACAATTGTAAATATATATGCACCCAACACTGAAGCACCCGGATACATAAAACAAACATTAGAACTAAAGAGAGAGATATGTCCCAATACAATAGCTGGAGACTTCAGCATCACATTTCAGCATTGGACAGATATTCCTGAGAGAATCAGCAAAGAAACATCAGACTTAATCATCACTAAAGACCAAATGGATCTAATAGACATTTCATCCAATAGCTGCAGGAAACACATGCTTTTCTTCACCACATGGATCATTCTCATGGATGGACCATATGTTAGGTCACAAAACACATATGAAAACACTAAAGAAATTGAAATAATATTAAGCATCTTATCTGACTACATTGCAATGAAACTAGAAATTGATAGCAGGAGGAATTTAAGTACTATGCAAGTACGTGGAAATTAATCAGTGTGCCCCTGAATGACCAGTGGGTCAATGAAGAAATTAGGAAAAAAATTTAAAAGTTTCTTGAAACAATGAAAACAAAACATGTCAAAATCTAGGAGACAGAGCAAAAGTAGTACTAAGAGACAAGTTTATAGCTGTAAGTGCCTACATCAAAAAAGAATAAGAACTTCAAATAAAAAAAACTAATAACGTATCTTAAAGAACTAGAAAGGCCAGAGCAAACCAAACCCAAAATTGATAGAAGAAAAGAAATGAGAAAAATTATAGTAGAAAGAGATAAAATTGAAATGAAGAAAACAATACAAAAGATTAATGACACAAAACTTGTTTTTTTTTTAAAAAAAAGTTAAACAAAATTGACAAACTTTTGGCCAAACTAAGAAGAAAAGAAAGATTTAAATAAATTAGAAAATCCAGAAGAAATGGATAAATTTCTAGACTCATACAACCTACCATGAAGAAGAAGATTGAACCATGAAGAAATTCAAAACCTGAACAGACTAATAACAGGTAATAAGATTGAAGCCATAATAAAAAAAAATCTCCCAGTAAAGAAAAGCCTGGGACCCAAAGGCTTCACCGGTAAATTCTACCAAACATTTCAAGAGAAACTGACACCAATCCTACTCAAACTATTCTGAAAAATAGGGGAGGAGGGAATACTTCCAAATCCATGCTATGATGCCAGTATTACCCTGATAACAAAAGCAGACACAGATGCATCGAAGAAAGAAAACTGCTAGCCAGTATCTCTGATGAATACTGATGCAAAAATCCTCAAAAAAATATGAACAAACCAAGTTCAACAATACATTAAAAAGATTTGTCATAGCCAAGTGGGATTTATCCTTGGGATAAATCCCAGGGTTACAGTTAGCATCATACTGAATGCTGAAAAAATTTAAGGCTTTTCTCTAAAATCTGGAACACAACAGGGCCGCCCACTGTCACCACTGTTATTCAACATAGTATTGGAAGTCTTAGCTAGAGCAATCAGACAAGAGAAAGATATAAAGGGCTTCCAAATTGGACAGGAAGAAGTCAAATTTTCCTTTTTTACAGATGATATAATCTTATATTTGGAAAAACCTAAAGACTCCACAAAAAAAATGATTACCTGATAAACAAATTCAGTAAAGTTATAGGATACAAAATCAACATACAAAAATCAGTAGCATTTCTATTTGCTAATTGTGAACAAGCTGAAAAAGAAATTTAAAAATTAATCCTATTTATAATAGCCACAAATAAAATACCTAGGAATTAACCAAAGAAGTGAAAGATCTCTACAATTAAAACTATAAAAGACTAATGAAAGAAAATGGAGAGAATACCAAAAAAATTTTTTTAAAACCATGTTAATAGATGGAAGAATCAAAATTGTTAAAATGTTCATACTACCCAAAGCAATCTACAGATTCCATGCAATCCCTATCAAAATACCAATGATATTTTTTACAAAAATAGAAAAAATTCTAAAATGTATAGGGAACCACAAAAACCAGAATAGCTAAAGCTATTCCAAGCAAAAAGAACAAAATTAGAAGAATCACATTACCTGACTTCGAATTATACGACAGAGCTCTAGTAATCAAAACAGCATGATACCGGCATAAAAACAGACACATAGACCAACGAAACAGAATAGAAAACCCAGAAACAAATCCATAAACCTAAAATGAACTCATTTTCAACAAAGTTGCCAAGAACATACACTGAGGAAAATGCAGTCTCTTCAATAAATGATGTGGGGAAAACTAGATATCCATATTCAGAACAATGTAACTAGACTTCTGTCTCTCACCTTATACAAAAATCAAGCCAAAATGGATTAAAGACTCTAAGTCTTCAAACTATGAAAGTACTATAAGGAAATATTGGAGAAGATAATTGGTCTGGGAGAAAATTTCTTGAGTAATACTCCACAAGCACAAGGAACCAAAGCAAAAATGGACAAATGGGATCATATCAAGTTTAAAAGCTTCTGTACAGCAAAGGAAATAATCAACAAAGTAAGGAGACAACCCACAGAATGGGAGAAAATATTTGCAAACTATTTGCAAACAAATCTGGTGAGGGATTGATAACCAGAATATATACGGAGCACAAACAACTCTATAGGAAAAAAATCTAATAAGCTGATTAAAAATGGGCAAAAAATTTGAGTAGACATTTCACAAAGAAAGACATACAAATGACAAACAGGCATATGAAAAGTTGCTCAATGTCACTGATCATAAGAGAAATGCAAATCTTCCAGTTAAAATGGCTTATATTAAAAAGACAGGCAAAACAAATACTGATGAGGATGTGGAGAAAAGGGAACACTCATATACTGCTGGTCGGAGTGTAAATTAGCACAAGCACTATGGAGAACTCTTTGAAGCTTCCTCAAAAAACCCAAAAATAGAGCTATCATATAATTTAGCAATCTCACTGCTGGGTATATACTCAGAAGAATTGAAATCAGTGTATCAAAGTGATATCTGCACTTCCACGTTTTTTGCAGCACTGTTCACAATAGCCAAGATTTTGGAAACAACCTACGTGTTCATCAACGGTTGATGAACAAAGAAAATGTGGTATACACAATGGAGTACTGTTCAGCAATAGAAAGAAATGAGAACTTGTCAATTGTAACAACATGGATGGAACTGGAGGATATTACATTAAATAAAATAAGCCAGGCACAGGAAGACTAACTTTGCATGGTCTCATTCATTTGTGAGATCTAAGAATCAAAACAATTGACCTCATGGTTGTAGAGAGTAGAAGGATGGATACCAGAGGCCAGGAAGGGTAATTGGGTTTAGAGGGGAAAACAGGATGGTTAACGGGAAAAAAAAAAAGAGAGAGAGAATAAATAAGACCTACTAATTGACAGCACAACAGGGTGACTATAGTCAATAACTTAACTGTACATGTTAAAATAACTAAGATATTAGAATTAGATTGTGACACAAAGAATAAATGCTTGAGGGGATGGATATCCCATTGTCCATGATGTGATTATTATGCATTGCATGCCTGCATCAAAGTGTCTCACTTATCCCATAAATATATGTATCTACTATGTATCCACAAAAATTAAAAATTAAAAAATATGCATAGGGTGAAGCAGAACAAGAAGGAATCATATAAAGCTAGCACAACTTATAGACTATTGAAAGTTAGGTGATCAAGCAATGTGAAATAAAGTTTAGAATTAAATTAGTATTTTTCAAAAAAAAAGGTATAGATTTACACTAATATTGTAAACCAAAAGTCAAAAACTACTGATTTGTAGCAAAAATCCATTCTACTAATCTGTTTCAGTTTCCTATACAATGTTAGTCATCTTAATTTCTTAAATTTTTTTTAACATTTAAATGAATACAAGTTCCCATAAAATCTTGATCTCTGAACTCTCAAAAAATCAAATTTCCGGTAACACTAGGCCTGCGCTCCCAAAGGGCAGTGATAAACCAGAGCTATGTTGCAGTTTTCTTCATGCTTTTAGGGCATTTCAGTCTTCCTATTGCTTCTGCTGCACTGAATACAAGGGTCAGTGGCCAGTCCTGAGCATAACTGTCACGTTTTTGTAGATAACAATTTTTTCAAAAGGAAACATTTCTGGTATTCATATTCTGTCAAAAATAGAAAAATGAAAGATCAGTTTGGAGGACCTTATACTTCAAAATAAAGGGAGGTGGGTGAAGAAAGGGAAGAGCATATGGTGGAAGCATAAATTGTTTCTACATGTTTAATATTAAGCAATAAAAGAAGGTTTTACAAAAATAACTGTCTGCTTTCCTCATGTATTCATACCCAGCCTCTGTAACCATGTGAAATTGCAAACTTTGTTTAAAACACTTATCTGTTCCCTTTTCCCTATCACGTCAGAAAGCGTAAACAGAGAATATCTTAGCACTGCCAAATTCAAAATTTACTTGTTTGCTATTCTTTTACCCAACCCTACTTCTATTTCACCACTTATGTTAAAAACATAACCAAGCAATTAACTCTATGGCAGTGGTTCTCAACCCTAGCTACACACTAGACTCACCTGGGACACTTTAAAAATACCACTGCCATGCCTCCACCCCCAGAGGTTCTTATTTAGTATGTATATAATGTGACTTTTCCATCAGCACTTAAATTATTTTTAGCTCCCCATATGATTTTAATGGGAAGCCAAGGTTAGACTCATTGCTCCAAGAATTTTGCTGTCCATTAAATACTGGAATATATGCCATCCAACCTCTGCTCTCTGTCACTTTGCAAATTTCATGAGTTACTTAACCTCCTTAGGTCAAATATTTTTCTTTATAAAATGCTATAGGCAGTGACACAGGGTGAGTTCTTCTGGAAGCTGAAACTAAGGCAAGGATTCCAGTGAAAAACATATTACACACTTTCAGGAGCAAATTCCCCAGCAGCCTGATACTGCTAGAAGCTCTAGAGAGTGAATGACACCTCAAAGTTGGTCACAAACATGAAGGCAAAGAAGTAGAGCTTTTGTACTCCTGCACCAGTTATTGGCTATGAAAGGGTGGGAGTGGGGAGGCAGGGGAAATGACCTAAGAATTTCCAGTGCTTCCAGCCACCACTGCCTACAGGTGAGGGGCTCTGTTGGTCAAGGGCAATCCTCTGATCACTGGTATGCACAATCAGCAGGAAAGCACCCAGAAGATGGGGGATGGGTGCATGGAGCTGGAATACAGGATCCTAGGGGCATTTCTATGGGACTCCATGCAACCGTGCCCACTACAGTCCACCCACACATTCTTACAGAAGGGAAAGTGCAGGATGATGGTGAAGGACAAGGTGGTGTTGAACTAGAAGATCTCGAAGACCTTTTCTAGGTGAAAAAAAATCTATAAAATACTGTCTGAAACATGCTGTTTGAATCTTTGTTTTCTAACTGATAAATACTTAAAGATTTTGTTCTCTCTTTGCCTCAATCACCTTTTGATTCCTATTTTGGTAACTGCATGACAGTTTGACAGGATACTAATTAACAACAAAAACTTGATTATATCAAGGAAGCTTAAGGAAATACCTTAAAGCTTTAATAAAGGAAGGAAAACATTCTTCACCATGGTAGTTCCTCAGTCTTACCAGTCAGGATGCTATATATTTGTAAGCCAATTTGGAGTCATGTAACATGACCAAAGATTGACATAAATGACTAGATATGTAGAAGATATATTTTTATATTTGCCACATATTTATTTAACTAATTATGTAAGAATAATACATAATTCTTACATAATCAGCATGGTGGCTCACGCCTGTAATCCCAACACTTTGGGAAGCTGAGGTGGGTGGATCACCATAGGTTGGGTGTTCAAGACCAGCCTAGCAAACATGGTGAAACCCTGTCTCTACTAAAAATACAAAAATTAGCTGGGCATGTTGGTGCACACCTGTAATCCCAGCTACTCGGGAAGCTGAGGCAAGAGAGTTGCTTAAACCAGGGAGGTGGAGATTGCAGTGAGCCTAGGTAGCTGCCATTGCACTCCAGCCTGGGTGACAGAGTGAGCAAGAAGCATCTATGTACAATTTAGTTTCTGTTATCTGTTTTAATCAGAGATCCTATAATGGGCTATGTAAGACTTATGTTCAGATGATTGAGGCTTTTAGCAAATATATTTTCCTAGTTGCAGAGAATTAAGGGAACAGACAGCAAGAACAGCTTTTCAGGCACTTAATTTTTTTTGCTATGAAAAACTATAGTAAATGAAGCACAACATTTTCACTCAAAATGAAAAATGGTAACTAATTTACCCTAATAAGTACAGCAGTAATCTTAAGAATATTATTTTCAATCATATTAAATTTGCCTTGCCTAGAGAATAATGTCTTGGAAAAGTACCAATGTTGTATAAATTCGTAGTACAACCTTGACACTCAGCCATAGAATATAATGTTGAAACTCTGATAAAGTTTCCTCATCACAGTCTCTACAAAAACCCTTTTAAAAAATAAGTTGAAGTTGCTTTTTGCTATTGTAAGCAAATTACCAAAATGCCTATTTTAAGTAAATAAGACAGGACTAGAACATTGTCCAATTAAATTGAAATTTAAACAAAATTTAAATTTCTTGACACTATTTTCTTTAGGTTAGTAGTTAAATGAATAAATTATTAACATATATATGTATATATATATATACACATCTAAATGTAGACAAAGAATACATGTTTGTGTAGGAGGAAAACTAGCAATTTTAAAGATCTATTTGCCTATTTTATATTACATAGTTCATATAAATTATATCATTTAATACAACAGCCCTATGAGATATATTAAGCACAATTTTACAGGATAGGAAAAAAGAATCAAAAATATAAAATTAATTGCCCAAGGGGGACATAGCTATTTAACTTTGCAGTTGAGATTGAAATCTCAGTCTGACTGGCTTCAAAGATTACTCTCTTTTTCACTACACTGCGCAAGGAAAAGAAGTATGTAGCTAAAAATAAATGAATGCCACAAAACTCTTTCTGCCTTTTCTGAGATCAAAATTTACCTCTACAAATTCTGGTTTAGATTTATGTGAATAAGTCAATCCTGATGCTGGTCCGTCTTATCTTCTGAAAATTTTTACTTTTTATATTGTAATGTACAGAGTCATTTTTTAGATTTTCTTTGAAGATGCTTCAGGAAATGTATGAGAAAAAAGAAAGAAAAGTTGCCACCTGACCTTGTCCTCCAACTCTGTTCTGAGCAAGAATGGAGAGGATTTGTGAGGGCTTCCTGACGTCTAAATTTCTTTATGCTTGGATAATGAATTCCAAAAACAACCCACTCTCTTTGTTACTTGTATTTTGTTTCCAAAAGGGGCATAGAAAGGTATAAGAAAACATTGTTTCCTTGATATTTTTCTAGAATTCGGCAGCACCGACATAAGCATTTGTTTCTTAACAAAAATAGACATTTACATTCTCTGGTGTTCAGTGTTTTGAAATGACAACTGTAGGTGAGAAAAGAATTGTTAATCAGGATTCCAAGTACAAAAACTGTCAGTAAAAGGAGTGATTTTTGATGTGGAAGACAGGATTTGACTTTATATGTTTAATATGCATGTAGGTGTTCTTTCTTCCAAAGATGACATCTTATTTATGTATTTTTATAAATAAATTTAGTTTCTTCCATGCTGTTCTAGAAGCATATTTTCTTTATTTGATTCCACTGAGGTAAAAAGCATTTTAGTGTGGAACACAGTGATATCCATAATAAGAAATTCCAGGATCCAGGAATTCTCCTTATGCTGGGGATAAAAGACAGAACAAAGCAGTCAGGAAGTCTGCCCTTAGGGGAGCTTACAGTCTAAATGGGAAACAGGTGATAAGCAAAATAAGTAAGTAAATTATATAGTATGTTGGATAATGGTAAGTATATGCAAAGAAAGAAAAAAAGGGAAGGGAATATGAAGAGCTGGAGGCTGAAATTTTAGAACAGGTAAAGTTTAGAAGAGGTAAATTTCCTTTTCAGCAACCTGCAACAAAGGAAACTTGCTTCTTCTAAACTTAACCTCTTCTAAAATTTCACAACCAGATTAAATATTTAAATTTTAAAACCAGAATAAAAATTTAAAAAGAGAAAAGAATGAAAATCTATTGTAAGGCCACTAGAGTATTTCAAAAAAACAGGAGAAACTGGGCTATGGCAAATGCCAACATAAAAGGGAAAACAAACATACTAAATTGTCACATGGTGACATGGTTTGGCTGTGTCCCCACCCAAATCTCATCTTGAATTATAACTCCCACAATTCCCACATGTTATGGAAGGAACCCAGTGGGAGATAATTGAATCATGGGGGTGGTTCTTTCCCATGCTTTTCTTGTGATAGTGAATAAGTCTCATGAGATCTGATGGTTTTAAAAATGGGGGTTTCCCTGCACAAGCTCTTGTCTCTTGTCTGCCGCCATATGAGACAAGATGAAACAAGACGTGCCTTTCATCTTCTACCATGATCATGAGGTCTCCCCAGCCATGTGGAACTGTGAGTCCATTAAACCTCTTTCTTTTGTAAATTGACCGGTCTCAGATACGTCTTTATCAGCAGCATGAAAACAGACTAATACACGTGGAATATTCATTATAGAAGGCAAATAATCATTTAGACAAATTGTCATCTAGAGCAACTTCTTTTCTAACTTTTTTTTTTTCAATTAAAATTTATTGAGCTGTCTCACCTGTGGCTATGTTTGCCTTCCTTCTCCATCTCTACTTCTTTGAGGTGTTGCCTCCTAGCTCCTGGCATACTGGGACAAGGATTATATTTAGAATCAGAACACCAGGATATGTGTCCCATTTTTCTTTCTCACTAGTTGTGTCTTGGGCATGTTGCATCACTGTCTTAGTCCTTTCTGTTCAATAACCACTGTATAACCTTTAAATAATAACATTTTGTAATTTTAGAAAACCTATGAGAGCTAAGTGATTGTCTTACATGTGGAATTAACCCTTAAGAAGATTGGTCAAGAAGGAAATTTAGAGAAAATGAAAAAAGGACTAAAAAGTTATCTAAAGGGAAACCTACATTTAGAAATTTGAAGAAACAGAGGTTCAGGAAGGTGGAGAAGAACCAGAGAACTTTTTAAAATCTAAATTAAAATTAAATTTAAAAGAAATTAATAAAAAATATAGTTACAAGAAAGGCATAGAAATCAGCAGTCTTCTGAACAGATATCAAGGTCAATCACTTAGAAATAACCATTAAAAGTGGTGACAAGGTTATCTAAGGATCACTGAGGAAAAGCAGGTTTGGAGACAGAAGGAGGGATGAAGATTATAAATAAAAATCTATAGAGATTTTTCTTTCAATGTCCAAATCTACATCTTTCTATATAAATGGGAAAAATAAATCTGATCTTACCAAGATGCAAACAAGAGTATCTTAATGGTAGTGTTGTGAATTATAATCCATTTCAGGAGAAAAAAAATGAATTTTGTTACCAGGTTTTGATTTAGCCAAATATTATTTTAAAAAAAACTTCAGAACCCTATCTTTTCTGTCCACTTCCTGATCCTTTCTGCTGTCTCTCTGTCTTCTTGAGTTGGATAGAAACATTTTATTTTTAGAGCTACAAAAGAACTTAACAGCTATCCAGTTGAGAGTCTTATCATTTTTTATGATACCCTTTAAGAAATAGGTATGTTATGGACACTGTTAGCAGGAAAATGCATCCATACATGCAAAAATAAGATTTGCATATAATTTCAGTGTTCTCTGAGTCTCAAAACAAGAACATTTTACCTTATCCAACCCTGTAGTTTCATAAATAAATAAAGTCACTAAAAGTGTGTTTTTACTCAGGTAACCAACAAACTGATATGTAGCACAGTGGAAATTCAGTTATGTATGTAAAAACGCTATTGAATACTCTTTCTACAATGCCACCTTGATTCTCTTTAAGCATGTCTCATGCAAAAGTGATTATCCAGTAAATTTTAGCTGTATCCAGATTAGAGTACACACAAGAGTTTGGGATAGGTACACAAGGGGTTTAGTGGAGAACAGCTTCTGGAGCCAAGCACACCTGGGCTCCAAGCTCTCATACATAGTAGCTGTGTGACCCTGGACTACAGATTATCTGATACAAGTGTCCATTTCCTCATCTGTTCATGAGTGATATCTCTAAAATCTAGCCCTGGGCCTTTGCAGAATTAGGCATGGTAATGCATGTAAACTGCTTATTAAGGTGCTTGGAACATAGAATTAAATATTAGCTCAAAGAAGTAAAAAATGTATCACTATCATTAGGTTACACATCATTTAATCTGAAGGGTCCCCTATGTTCAAGGTTGATTAGGTTATCTGTGAACTTTTAACAGCCCAAGCTGACATTCTGGATCTGCCACTAGCAAGACACCTTGACAGGTGTTCTGCCTTCCAATTCTAATATTTACAGAGTTCTGAGTATGTTGTTTAAAGACTTTATCTTGGTTTGAGTGTCCAAGGAGAGCATATATGAATAAGCCTGTTTATTTCTTTCTAAGGCTTAAAATTGCAATTTAGAAATCAGTCACCAAGTGGACATTTTTATGGTTTTATGCTGTAAGTTTATGACCCATGTATCTCAGTTTCCTCATATATTTAGAGAAGAACAATGCAAGCTAGTAACCTATGTTGTTATTAAAAATGCAGGAAAGATTAAAGTTAATCATTTTAAACAAACACGATATATGGGAAATTTTTATAATTCAAACACTGGGAGTTGTGGCTACTCTGTTTAAAAGTAGATGAGTCTCTACTCAAAATTCGGTTCATGTCAAGACTGATGACATCACACACACCAGGAGAGTATGAAAAGGTTTCTTACTTACAGAACTGATGCTTTTCTGGTGAAAGCAAGGCAGGCCTCCCAAGCAGGTCTGAAATGATTTGAGAGAGCCAGGAAAGAAAAATAGCATGTATTTTTATTTCCGACAACAGGTAGGGCCAGTGGTAAAGTTCCCATGCATGGGCAGGAGTGTACATGGTGAAATCATCAATGCCAGAGAAGTGAGCACCCAGGCTTTTTAATCAATTTGCCCAGAGCTGGGGAAAAATAGAGGAGGCAAGGTGGGCCTGAGAGTTGTCAGCAGTTAAATATCAAAAACGGGATTAGATCCTTTATTACACTGTGTTGGATGACACATCACTGCACGCATCTTAACTACTATCAACACTCTCAATAGGTTATTCTAACTCTATTTAGAGAATACACAAAACTCATCCACTAGGTGCCTAAAGCCTCTTTTGGAACAGCCTCAACTATTTAGGGCCACATAAGCCTTCCACTGAAACCTAGGTTTTACACTGCACTGTCTTGCCCATTTTTATCAGGCTTTACTCTTGCAATTTCTTTAGCTACATTTCAGCAAGAGGGAAAAACTGACCATCTGTAGCATTCTTCTCATCTAGTCAGGGATGAAAAGAAATAGTGAAAAATTTTGATTATGCTTGGCAAATCTCTTCGTGACTATCTTTTTCTAATCAAGAAAACAATTTGATTCTGTTCCAAGGATTTAAAAATGAAATACATTTAACTTCTTTACCAAATCATATAGATTTTTTTCAAGTTTATTTCTACTTTTAAAGGTACCAGATACATTTTCCTCTTGAACATTTTAAAATAGCATGCATAGTTGCATACTTCATAGGTAGCAACTCTGAATCACAGTGATAGACAATCATTCCTACTCTAAATGCCAAATGATTATATGGTATAAACCATAAGTGCTTTGGGTGCTCAGAAGGAGACATATGTGTTTGAGATAGAGTGCACAGGCAAGATTCTTCTCAAAAGAAGAAGGAATTTAATAGATAAATAAGATTTAGAGAAATTACATGGAATGAGGAAGAGGAAATTTCAAATAGCGGGTAAAGCATAACTTCACACACGGGTAAGTGTTAATACAAGGCCTGCTATTTGAACGCAATGTATGTATGTGTGCTTGTGCTTTAAATGTACTGACACATGGTTCCAATATAAAATAACAGAATAGGAAGTGACTTTTCCTTCCATATTCAAGGAGCATGTATTATTCTTTATGTTATAAAGAAATTCCTTTTTGGAAAAGTCATTAGAAACCAACTGAAACTGCCATGCCTGCTCTGAAACAAGATTTACAGAACACAAAACTACGTGTGAAATATGAAAAGTTATAGAGATTTCACAAGAGTTTTGAGACTAAAGGACTATTCAAAATATAGCATTGGTGGAACACAAGGTTACCTGAGAATTAAGCAGTCTCCCTTGAGAACAGTAAAATCAGCTAGGAACCATACCTATTTGAGCTCAACATCATGTTGTTGGTATTTAAGCTGTGCCTGAATCATAGTAGGTGATCAAAAAAGGTTTTTTGGATTAATTAACACATTTATTTTCTGAGGAATCAATGCAAAAGATCTGTATTGTATAATGTTGAGCTAATAAAACCTTTACAGAATAGAGTCTAATTTAAATCAAATCCTTTTGTATATGGAACATGTGTGCAACCTGCCAGTCACCTTAATTAGAAACCAAACTACTACTAACAGAAGGCTATCCTATGCTTGAAAACAGTAAATGAATATTATGATAAAAACATTATTCTGAGAAAATACACTGCGTGTACATGAGAACTATTGGGATTGGTTTCAAGTCTAGCACAGCAAGTGCTCTGTTCTTATTAAATGTGTGTATGAGCATTTAGACAGGGTTGCTATCAAGCCAATTGAGGACAGAAAGGTGTAGAACATATTATTACTAAAGGAAGCTGTCTAGTTTCCCTTGTCCTAGAATTATTCTTCAACAGAGTGTATTATTCCCTGTGTAATGATTAAAACATGTATGTTCAATTTAAAATTTGAAATAAGCACCTCAAAAAATGATGTAAATGGAAACTCATAATTCCTTCACTCTGAAATACCACTGTCTATAACATGAGTGGTTTTACATCCATCTAGCTTTACAAACACAATTATATATTAATAGTGTTTTATATATAGTGGTTATCTAAGAGTTAAGGGGTTATATATGTTCATATATAAATAAATTACCCAAGCTAAGAATGACAGTGAATTCACCAAATCCCAATATGCATTCCTCCCACATACCTCCGCCCCACAAAACTTGACAGCTTTGGCTGGTACAGTCTGTGATTTTCAAATATTATTATCTCAGTCCTAGGATAGTCATCAATCACAATATTATTCATCTATGGGGATAACAAATTCAAGAAATATACATAGGCGCTCTACAGGAACTAAAATATAGTACTATCTTTATTTTCCAAACTATAGGTTTCTTGGTAAAACCGATTTTGAAGAAACAGTTTGATCCAGAAACCACGGGCCTTTATTCATTTATTCAAAAAATGCTTGTAGAATTATACTGACAAGTGTTCTGAGCAGTGGGGATAGAGAAGTTAAATTCTTATGCAGCTTACATTCTAGTTGGGAAAAGACAGAATGAAGAAACAATAAACTATGTGGGATATCAAGAAAGGTATAAAGAGTGCTAGGAAGGGCACTGTCATTTCAAACAGGGTAGTTTGCAAAGTCCTCACAAAGAAGGAGACATTTGAGCAGAGACCTGAAGGGTGTAATTATATCTTGAGAAATAACATTCCAGGCAGAGGAAAGTAGGAGTGCCAAGACCCCAAGATGACAGCATATCAGGCTTTCTAATTCTGTCTTCCTGAATTGAATTGCTTTACCTACTGCTGAAGAACCACAGCCTACAACAATGGAGCACAAAGGTGCATCACAACTCCCCTCTAATCCAGCCCCTCCATCTTATTTCATGCTGGCACACACCTCATAGAAACATGAGCAGAGAGAGAATATGTTTTATCACTTTATCCATTCATTTTCATGCTGCTAATAAAGACATACCCAAGACTGGAAAATATACAAAAGGAAGAGGTTTAAGGGACTTACAGCTCCACATGGTGGGGAAGGCCTCACAATCATGGTGGAAGACAGAGAGAAGCAAGTCACGTCTTCCATGGATGGCAGCAGGCAAAACAACAACAACAACAAAGCTGTGCAGGGAAACTCCCATTTTTAAAACCATCAGATCTCATGACACTAATTCACTATCATGAGAATAGCACAGGAAAGACATATCCCCATAATTCAATCACCTCCCAGAGAGTTCCTCCCCATGACATTTGGGAATTGTGGGATTTACAATTCAAGATGAGATTTGGGTGGGGACACAGCCAAGCCATAACATTCCACTGCTGGCCTCTCCCAAATCTCATGTTCTCACATTTCAAAACCAATTATGCCTTCCTAACAGTCCCCCAAAATCTTAACTCATTTCAGCATTAACTCAAAAGTCCACAGTCCAAAGTCTCATCTGAGACAAGGCAAGTCCCTTCCACCTATGAGTCTATAAAATCAAAAGCAAGTTAGTTACTTCCTAGATACAATGGGGGCACAAGTATTGGGTAAATAACAGCCATTCCAAATGGGAGAAATTGGCCATAACAAAAGGGCTGCAGGCTCTATGTAGTCCAAAATCCAGTGGGGCAGTCAAATCTTAAAGCTCCAAAATGACCTCCTTTGACTCCATATCTCACATCCAGGTCATGCTGATGCAACAGGTGGGTTCCCATGGTATTGGGCAGCTCTGCTCCTGTGGCTTTGCAGGGTATGTCACCCATCCTGGCTGCTTTCACAGACTGGTGTTGAATGTCTGTGGCTTTTCCAGGCTCATGGTGCAAGCCGTCAGGGGATCTACCATTCCGGGGACTGGAGGATGGGGGCCCTCTTCTCACAGCTCCACCAGGAGATGCCCCAGTACAGACTGTATGTGGGGGCTCCAACCCTTCATTTCTCTTTCACACTACCCTAGGAGATGTTCTCCCTGAGGGACCCGCCCCTGCAGCAAACTTCTGCCTGGACATCCAGGTGTTTCCATACAACTTCTGAAATCTAGGTGGAGGTTCCCATACCTCATTCATGCACCAACAGGCTAAACACCACATAGAAGCTTCCAAGGCTTGGGTTTGCACCCTCTGAAGCAACAGCCCAAGCTGTCCCTTGGTCCCTTTTAGCCATGGCTAGAGCAGCTGGAATGCAAGCACCAAGTCCCTAGGCTACACACAGCAGGAGGGCCCTGGGCCTTGGCCACAAAACCATCTTTTCTTCCTAGACCTCTGGGGCTATGAAGGGAGGAGCTGCCTTAAAGACCTCTGACATGCCCTGGAAACATTTTCCCCATTGTCTTGGCAAATTACATTTGGCTCCTCTTACTTATGCAAATTTCTGCAGCAGGCTTGAATTTCTCCTCAGAAAATGGGATTTTCTTTTCTATCACTTTGTCAGGCTGCAAATTATCTGAACTTTATGCTCTGTTTCCCTTTTAAAACCGAGTGCCTTTAACAGCATCCAAGTCACTTCTTCAATGCTTTTCTGGTTAGAAATTTCTTCCACCAGATACCCTAAATCATCTCTCTCAAGTTCAAAGTTCCACAAATCTCTATGGCCGGGGCAAAATGACACGTTTCTTTGCTAAAACATAGAAAGAGTCACCTTTACTCCAGTTCCCAACAAGTTTCTCATCTCCATCTGACACCACCTCAGCCTAGATTTTATTGTCCACTTTATTATCAGCATTTTGGTCAAAGCCATTCAACAAGTCTTTAAGAAGTTCTAAGCTTTCCCACATTTTTCTGTCTTCTTCTGAGCCCTCCAAACTGTTCCAGCCTCTGCCTGTTACCCAGTTCCAAAGTCGCTTCCACATTTTCAGATATCTTTTCAGCAGCACCCCACTCCTTGTATCAATTTTCTGTAGTAGTGTGTTTTCATGTTGCTGATAAAGGTACACCTGAGACTGGAAAATTTACAAAAGAAAAAGGTTTAATGGATTTACAGTTCCACACAGTTGGGGAGGCCTCACAGTCATCGTGGAAAGCAAGGAGAAGCAAGTCACATCTTACATGGATGGTGGCAGGCAAAAAAAAAGAGCTTGTGAAAGGAAACCCCCATTTTTAAAACCCTCAGATCTTCTGAGACTCATACACTATCATGAGAACAGCACAGGAAAGACCTGCTCCCATAGTTCAATTGTCTCCCATGGGATTCCTCCCATGACACATAGGAATTGTGGGAGTCACAATTCATGATGAGATTTGGGTGGGGTACAGTAAAACCATATTGATCAGTAATCTGAACATCAGAGAAAAAGCAGAGCCATGATTTGGGGCTATGCTAGAAGAATGTGATTTTCTCCAAAATCACCAAATAAAAAAGAATATCTGTGTTTTTATGAGAATAAGGCAATAATAAGAGAAGACATAGGAACCAGAAGTGATCCTCCCAAGGAAAGAATTGAGTATGATTTTCTGTACGTCTCTCTGAGTGTGGGGGATGAATAATAAGTGTTTCCTTCTTTTTAACAAAGTTTGTATTATATATATTCTCCAGATATTTTAAAGATAATTTAATTTTACATAGTATATGTTTTCTCTGTAATAAGATAATTACCCTTATTATCTTCTCTGTGACTATTTTTCCACCATTTGGGTTACTCAATTATACTGAATAAAAAATTTGAATACTGTAGTTCTCTATTTGAGGAATGAATTTTTGTCAAAATATCTGAGAGAGTCCTCAGTCAATCCCCATCCTTTTTATGAGAAGTTATTTTTCATTTCATTCAGTTCAACTGAAAATTGAGAGGCAAGGGGTGTTGAGCACTGACTTGGAACTCATAAACTGTGGAGAGTCCAATGTGGACAAATTATGTGCTTGGACCAAGCCAGAAAGAAGCCAATGTTGATGGCTGCATTTTCTTCTCCATTAGGAACCTGAGTAAGTCAAAGAGAAAGCAGGCATAGATGGGATAGACAGAGATCATGTATGTGTTCATTTTGATAATTTTTTGTGGAAAAGTAATTGGCATTTCAGAATAACAATTCTGTAGTTAATCTATACCTCTAGGGAAACTCACAATTTAGCCCTTCAAAAGATTTGAACCATTATAAAGTCAATTTCTTGTGCTAATCACCAGTCTTTGAACAGATAACTTCAGTATAATTCTGAACATCAAAGTCAGTAGATAGGAAATTGAACTTATTAGACTAATGTAATTAATCAAACATAGTACTGGAAAAACATTTACTCTTGTAAAAGTCACTCCAGGCTACCTCTTTATGTGCCATTCTAGCTCTAGTTCTTGAGATGAGATTTTTTTTTAATAAATAAAATAATTCAAGTAATGAAAAATTCTGTGGACAGCAAATTGTCAAATTAGAAATTAGTCTTGTTCATCTTGTTTTATGCAAATGAATGATGTTATCTTCCAAAAATTATATTGAAAGTATTTTTTCTAACATCCTTGAGAAATAGCTGGCCAAGCACAATCTGACAGTTCCTTTCTCTCCCTATTCTGCTCAGAGTCAGCCCAACTTGCATTTTGAGTGAACCCTATTTAGTCCTTGAAGATCACAGGGCTCCGAAACATGTCTGAAGCTTCCATGCCAGAGAAAATGGGGCAGTCAACGCCAGCAGATGGCAGCATCATTGGACGCAGCCCCTACTTGCTGCGTCCCACAAGAGGGCTCATGACTCAGAAGTCTGGGAGGAGGTCGACCTTCCTAGCAGCAACTGAGCAAACATTTTTAATTTCACAGCTACTAGAGTATCCCTGAACAGAATGCTGGACGGACTCTCTTAGCACACTCAGATGAACCACCCCAACCTGCTCACAAGGTATACCCTGCTAAACTAATTCTTGATCAGACAAAGCAAGTGCTTATGGCAGTATTAAAGCAGGAATTCTGAGAAAAATGAGAAAATTAAATTATTGACTGTATTTGAGATATCCAGTTGTGTGCTACAGAATGACAGTTCTATCAATGATAGCCCGTGTACACTACAGTGGTCTCATAAGACTATAATATTGTATTTTTACTACCCCTTTTCTATGTTTAGATACACACATACTTAGCGTTGTGTTACAACTGCCTGCAGTATTCAGTACAATAATGTGCAGTACAGGTTTTTAGTTTAGGAGGACACTCATTCAAGGACACTCATCCCCCTTCCAAAAAATAGGCAGTGGAGGCACCTGAAAAGGGTCTGAACAGACATCCTCCCTCATCTTCCAATAAGAAGGCCTCTGAATGGAGGCACTTAAGCTTGGAATGCAGGAATACCTATGAGCATGATCACTGGGGTAGGGGAGGTGCTGGGAGGCTGAGTCCTCCAATGCAACTCCCTCCAGAGACAGCAATGCACTAATTATACACCAAGCTTGAACTGTGCAGGGCAGCTTTCTACCCATTACCATGGCCAGGTAAAGCCTTTGTAATTTCTATTAGAATTGCGGCCTAGATCCAAACTTCTCAGTTATAAATAAAAATTACTGTGTTTTCACCTTTGCTTACATCTGTTATGCATGTACGAGTGTGTGTGTGTGTGTAATTAATTTTCCTCTATTGTGTTAAGTAGGGATCTACCATATGTTATTAAATATAGGACTCTAAGAGTATTATTTTAATTTATATACTTCTAAGAAAGAAAAGAAAATGCTTCCAATTAAACTATGACTCTCCACCAACTGTAAGAAATTTCAGAAATGTTAAATATGAAAAGAAGTAGTGTTAGAATCAATGAAATGTAGTAACTTTATCTATTTTATTTCAAGTTGACAATCAATGGTCTTTCTACCACTAATTGAATACCTCACACTTTTCTCACCTACATGAAATTTTTCTAAATAAATTATATTTTCACGTAAACATAGGTTTTCTGGACTCTCTATTTAGTTCTATTAGTCTTTCCATCAATTATTACATGAATAACATCCTATCTCAATTCCCATCTTTTACTTTGGTTAGAATTGACATCATTAGAATATCAACTTTTCTAACAGACATTTAAATTGTTCCAATTTTTTTGTACTTACAGACAACGCAAATTTAAATTCATACAAATTCATTTTGTATTAAGGTTACATTTCTGAAGGTGAAATTGTTTATCAAAGGATATAAAATTTAATTTTAATAGATATTGCCAGATTTCTCTCCAAAAATTGGATTAACTTAATGTTCCACCAATTGTGTATAGCTATATTTGTTTCTCCACACCTTTATTAACACTAAATATAATAAAATGTAAAAATAATTGCTGCTAACCTGGTAGTTTCAAACTAACATTTTATTGTGGCTTTATTTGCATCTTCCTAATCATATGTGTAACTGAGAAGCTTTTCGTATTCTATTGGTGAATTATAATTCTTTTTTTAGATTCATTTTGCATAATTTGTCATTCATTGCTAATTCTTCTCTTCCCCTAGCTGACCAACATTTTACCAATATGCAACTTTGTTTCCCCTTAGTAAGGAAACCTTTTTGGTCTCTTCCATTCTTCCACATATCACATTTGTTATTCCACCTTCTTTTTCATATTCTGGTAGCTGGTATCTTTCTTCCCTTAAAAATTTTAACCCCACTGACCCAGATGGAAAAATAAAACTTTTTTCTGTAAATGATTAATACCTTTCCTTTTGGCCAAGTTTGTCTCAACAATTACTGCCCAACATTCCTGAGCTAATTGCTGAACACCCACATTATAAATACACACAGCTGAAGGCTTGGCTGGTGACCTAACAATACAGCATGCCCACCAGGAAATAATTTTCTCTTTTCATGTACTCCACCAAACGTTTCCAAAGCAAAACTTGTTAGCATGAATGCCAATCCACTATCCTTCCCATTATAGCATTTGAGGTTGAATTCACATGTCTTGGAGTTTGTTTCTTTGTGTTATAATTCATTCTAATCACTTTTCCTTTCAACAATCTTTTCCTCACATAACAACATTCATTTCATGTCATTTTAAAAATAGCCAGTAAAGCTAATGTAGCTGCCAAAACTGTATGGACTCCAGAAGCTGAACTCCTAGACAATGCCTGAGAAGAAGAGGTGTAGGTGCATCCCCTACCATATCAAACTGCCACATGGCCATGGGTGTGTCACTGACCTAGGCCTCACACACAGTCAGCTGGAGGTCCATGATAATGGAATGGGGAAAGGTTAGAAAATAGAAGAGAAAATGACTTAGTGAGCACTACCAAGGGACCAGCAGCATTACACAATGAAGTCTTGGAGTGCAAGGGATCACATGAGAGTTGTGCTTGTATAGGTTTACAAGTGGCCCCTAGGGCACTGCTATAGTGCCCATGGCCTTCAGCTTCACCCCAAAGCAGTCATTGATGGCAAAGTCGAAATTACTATAGTACAGTAAGTGCATTAAATTTTGTCTTAAATTTCAGAGAACATCAGGTTCTTAATGTCCTTCAACACTAACAGAACATCAATCCAGAGAAGGTGAGCAGTCCTCTAATTATGTGGTGCCCTGGGGATTATGGCCACACCCTGTATTTTATATTCCTTCTTATCTGGGAGTGTCTGGTTCTTACCCAGTTGCAGGCCATTGTCTAGACGCTTGAGTTTTACATAATTCTGTGGAAATATTGAAACAGAACAGACTCTTATAAGGTATAAGATTTTCCTTGTAATTAAGTAAGATATCCACCCACCATAGTGCCTAAGATGAAGCCTATACTTAATGCTGTATTAAACTGTTTGATTTATAGTGGACATATGTTCTCTGCAACCGAAAGGGAAACCAGAGCACTGGAGATTGAGAAATAATCAGAAATGGAAAATAGAAATATATGGATGGATACTCCAAAAAGGAAATATCCCAGAGTACTGAACAGAATGACACTTCTTACCTATCACATCATTCCAGCAGTCTACCAATATGCTGGAAGCATTATGGACCACCACAGAAGGAACCTGCTATTCCAGCAACCATCAGGGATGTTCTAAGAAAGTTGACATAAAGGCTTCACAAGCAAACAAAAAAACAGAAAACAGTCATGTTTATACTAAAAGAAAAATACAAATCACCTAGCCCACCAACAAGAAGCAAAGCATGAAGGGGTGGGAGTAGGGGCTCCTCAAAAGCAGTGAGAGCAGTCTCATGGGATTTGTCTCTACTTCTTATTCTGTTTTACATAAATGTTTGTTCTGATATAATTTCCCCTGTGCTCAACTCTCTCAATTACTTAAATTAAAGGGATGTAATTTTAGCTTTCTGGCATGTCCCTAAATCTCTGCCTTTTGTCTTATATAAGAATTGAAAATGGCTGGGAATATAATTCTTGGATCAAACTTCTTTTCTCTAAAAATTTGTTTCCTTAGCCTACATAAGAAGCTTGACGCTGTTTTCATTCTCTTCCATCTGTAGGCTTACAAAGTTTTTTCTACCTCTGTCATTCAGAAAATTCCCTAGGTATATATTTCTAAATTAATCCTATTTTGAACTCAGTGAGCCTTTCCTTCTTAAGACTTTAAATCTTTCTGTTATTCATGGTTTCTTCTATTGTTTGATCATTTCTTCTTGCTCAACTCTCCTTCTCTCTTTTTAGGAAGGCCTGGATCATTGCCATGTCTCATCTTTTCTTCTGTGTTTTCTATTATTTTTGCACTGACTTCCATTTGCTCTTCCAGAGAAATAATTTAGTTACAGCAGTTTTGAGTTTCTTTATTGAAATTTTAAATTTAAACATCATTGATACGGTTTGGCTGTGTCCCCACCCAAATCTCATCCTGAATTGTAGCTCCCATAACTCCCAGGTGTTGTGGGAGGGACCCAGTGGGAGATAATTGAATCATGGGAGCAATCTCATGGTAGTGAATAAGTCTCACGAGATCTGATGGTTTTGTAAGAGGAAACCCATTTTGCTTGGTTCTTATTCTCCCTTGTCTGCCATGTAAGACCTGCCTTTCACCTTCTGCATGATTGTGAGGCCTCACCAGCAATGTGAAACTGTGAGTCCACTAAACCTCTTCTTCTTTATGAATTACCCAGGCTCCGGTATGTCTTTATCAGCAGTGTGAAAATGGACTAATACAGTAAATTGGCACCAGTAGAGTGGGGGCACTCTTGTAATTATACCAGAAAATGTGCAAACAGCTTCGGAACTGTAACAGGCAGAGATTGGAACAGTTTGGAGGGTGAGAAGAAGACAGAAAAATGTGGAAAAGTTTGGAACTTCCCAGAGACTTTTTGAATGGCTTTAAATGAAATGCTGATAATAATACAGACAATGAAATCCAGGGCGAGGTGGTCTCAGATGGAGATGAGAAACTTGTTGGGAACTGGAGTAAAGGTGACTCTATGTTTTAGCAAAGAAATTGGTGGCATTTTGCCTCTGCCCTAGAGATTTGTGAAACTTTGAACTTGAGAGAGATGATGTAGGGTATCTGGTGGAAGAAATTTCTAAGCAGCAAAGCATTGAAGGGTGACTTGGGTTCTGTTAAAAAGCGTTCGGTTTTAAAAGGGAAACAGACCATAACAGTTTAGAAAACTTGCAGCCCAACCACCCACGCAACAGAAAATAAAAATTCATTTGCAGAGGAGAAATTTAAGCCTGCTGCAGACATTTGTATAAGTAACGAGGAGCCAAATGTTAATTTGCCAAGACAACGGGGAAAATGTCTCCAGGACATGTCAGAAGTCTTAATGGCAGCCCCTCCTATCACAGGCCTGGAAGCCTAGGAGGAAAAAAATGGTTTCATAGCTGGGGCCCAGGGCCCCACTGCTGTGTGCAGCCTAGGGACTTGGTGCCCTGCATTCCAGCCACTCTAGCCATGGCTAAAAGGGGCCAAGGTACAGCTGAGGCTGTGGCTTCAGAGGATGCAAGCCCCAAGCCTTGGCAGCTTCCACATAATGTTGAGCCTGCAGGTGCACAAAAGTCAAGAATTAAAGTTTGGGAACCTCTGCCTAGATTTCAGAGGATGTATGGAAATGCCTGGATGTCCAATCAGAAGTTTGCTGCAGGGGCAGGGTCCTCATGGAGAATCTCTGCTAGGGCAATGTGAAAGGGAAATGTGGTGTTGAAGCCTCCACAGAGAGCCCCTACTGGAGTACTGCCTAGTGAAGCTGTGATAAGAAGGCCATCATCCCCTAGACCCCAGAAAATGGTAGATCCACCAACTGATTGCATATGCACCTGGAAAAGCTGCAGACAGTCAACACCAGCCTGTGAAAGAAGCTAGCAGGGAGGCTATACTTTGCAAAGCCACAGAGGCAGAGCTTCCAAGACCATGGAGACCCACCTGTTGCATCAGTGTAACCTGGATGTGAGACATGAAGTCAAAGGAGATCATTTTGAAGCTTTAATATTTGACTGCCCCCCTGGATTTCTGACATTCATGGGGTCTGTAGCCTCTTTGTTTTGGCCAATTTGTCCCATTTGGAATGGCTGTATTTACCCAGTGCTTGTACCCCCATTGTATCTTGGAAGTAACTAATTTGTTTTTAATTTTACAGGCTCATAGGCAGAAGGGACTTGCCTTGTCTCAGATGAGACTGGACTTTTGAGTTAATGCTGAAATTAAGATTTTGGGGGACTGTTAGGATGGCATGATTGGTTTTGAAATGTGAGGACATGAGATTTGGGAGGGGCCAGGGGCAGAATGATATGGTTTGGCTGTGTCCCCACCCAAATCTCATCTTGAATTTTAGCTCCCATAATTCTCACATGTTGTGGGAGAAAAACAGTGGGAGATAATTGAATCATGGGGATGGCTCCCCCATATTGTTTTCATAGTAGTGAATTCATCTCATGACATCTGATAGTTTTATAAGGGGAAAAACCTTTCATTTGGTTCTTATTGTCTCTTGTCTGTCACCATGTAAGATGTGCCTTTCACCTTCTGCCATGGTTGTGAGGCCTCCCCAGCCACATGACATTGCGAGTCCATTAAACCTCTTTTTCTGTATAAATTACCCAGTCTCAGGTATGTCTTTATCAGCACCATGAAAACGGACTAATAAAACCATGTTTTCTATTTTCTAAAACTCTATTCATTTTGTAGTTTTCTGATTGTTCCACTGTGGTATGAAATCATAAGAATTTACATAACAATTCACTCAAGATTGTCTTCTGTTTTAAAACTAAACATTTTCTTAATAGGAATTACTGCTTTGATCACTTGGCTTCATCTAAAATTAGTGTCTTCTTATGACGTAATCTTTCTCTTTCTACCCTTGCCTTTGGGTAACGGTTCCCTCAAACAATTCTAGTCATCACTTTAAATTCTCCAGGGAGCCTGATCTGAAATCATTGGGAATACAGTATGTGTTTCTTGTCTATTAGGCAGACAGTGACTCTTCTGGCTCAACTGAGGCTAATTCTTGCTTAGACCTTCACTTCATATGCCTGTCCTGTAAAAGTGGAGAGAGACAGACTTCTCCCAGCTGCACTGAAGAAGAGTGTATTCCAGCAGTCAATGTCTAATAATAAGTGGTTAGAAACATCCTTATTATTTTTACATAATTGCACATATAGGGCAGGACGAAGTCCTTTAGAGACCCTAATCACTGAAAACATAACAATGTGCCTCCTGTCTTCCCCCAAAATAATAATAACTAGGCAAGGGAGGATGAAGAGGTATGGCACAGAGGATGTTTAGGGCAGTGTAACTACTCTGTTTGATACTATCATGGTGTATGTGTGTCCTTATACATTTGTCCTAATCCATTGTTCTAGTCCATTTGGGCTGCTATCACAAAATACCTAAAATTGGGTGGCTTATAAACAACAGAAATTTATATCTGTTGTAGTGGCTGGGAAGTCCAAGATCAAAACACAAGCAGATCTGGTACCAGGTGAGAGATGGCTTCCTGCTTCACGCTTCATAGATGGTGCCTTCTCACTGCATTCTCACGTGGTAGATGGGCAAATGAGCTCCCTTCAGTCTCTTTTATTAGAGCAGTAATCCCAATAATTAGTAAGCTCTGAAAGTTCCACCTGTTAATACCATCACATTGGAGATTAGGTTTTGATATATAAACCTGAGGAAGACACAAATGTTCAGACTATTGCATCTACAGAATATACAGCACCAAGAATGAATCCTAATGCAAACTATTGACTGGGTGATAATGATGTGTCAATGAAGGTTCATCAATTGTAACAAATGTACCACTCTGTTGGGGGATGTAGATAATAGGGGAGGCTATGTGGGGGTAGCAGTTAGATGAGAAGTCTCTGTACCTTCTACCATGACTCAGTAGTTTTCTAGCCATTCTCCCCTCCTTCCCCTAGGACTCAAGGTCTTTAAAATGTCAGGAGCCTAAGTTCAGGGTTCCCATGACAATGAGACAATTTCTTCCACCTTTACTGCTGGTTATCTGACTTACCCTCACTTGGAGCCATTCCATGGGGAGAAATGGAACATTGAGGGAGCCAGAACTTTTCTCTTTTTGGCTCTTGCTTATATACTATTGCAGTAAGTAAGTAAAGATTTGTTACTTTTAGTTGGGCTCATTATCCTAAGTGACCACCTGGATACCTCATAGCTCATAACAATAATTATACTAGTGAAAACATCATAAAGAAAAATATTTTCATAAGCTTAATTACATACCAACTAAAATAGTGTGTTAAGAACTCCTACAAAAAGATAAAATCCACGAGACAGACAAGGAGAAACTATTTGCAGAATATATAAAAGAAAAGGCAAAGCCAGCATATAGAAAATGTTTCCACAAATTAATAAAAAAAGAAAAATTCACAGAAAAAAATAAAAACAGATGACATAACTAATACAAACTCACATACAATAGGGGAAATAGGGATAGAAATAAAATATTGTACTCATCAAAGTGGTAAAATCTGATTTAAAATATTAATAATATTGAATAGACTATGGCAAAACAATCTTCCCCATATACTCTTGGAGTATATGTTGGTGTAAATATACTCTGGTTCCAAAATTATACTTATAGGTCTCCATTCTACAGAAATATTTACCTAATTGCACCAAAGTATAAGTATAAAGTTATTCCACTCAGAATTATCTCTAACATTGACAAAATAAGAACAACCTATATATTAGGTATATTTTAACTAAATTCAAAACATCTATATTATGAATTGTCAAGCATTCATTAAAAATTATGGGTTTAGATTTCTGAGTTGAAATGGAGGAATAAAATAAGAGTTCCCTTTTTAATCCTAAATATATGAATAAATAGATAAAACACAGAAACAAGGAAGAAAGAAAACATTTATAAATATCCATAGCTAATTTTCTCCTGCATTAAATCAAGGAATAAGAGCATGAAAGATAAATAAGAAGGCAGAAGATAAAATAGAAAACCAGCCCCTCTGGATCTTGCAGTTTAATAAAGATGTGACTGTAATGTACTGGTTTTATCTATTCCCTCACTTTTATCAAGAAAAATCAGAAGGTTACAGAATTAAGATCAAGAAAACTTATCTGTCATACTAATTAGTATAAAAGGGATTAATCAGTCTATTAAAACAAACAGATTAAGTTTGAAAGTAAAACCAACAGTATCCTGTGTTTAGGGGAGAAAATTAAAGCAAGTGACTCACAAGAGTTGGAAGTAAAACAGTAGGCAATTATATAACAAGTAAATGCAATTAAAAATAGGAAAATTGACATATTAATATTAACCAAGGGGGAAATTGAAGCAAAAACTTTAAATGAGTCAAGTGACAACTTTATTAAAAATAAACCACAAAATTCACAAAGAAGACTGACTATTTACTCATCTGATTATATAAAATATGATCGTATACAACAAATATTTCAGGAAATGTAATATAAAGTAGCATATTAATAACACAAAATTCTAACTTAACTTTCTCCGCCTTTAAATAAACAGGTAAAATTTTTTGAAAGGGCAAACAGGAAGTATACATAACAAAAATGTAGATCAAAAACATATATTAATCTATACACTCTGAAAACCATGAACACACTTTTAAGTGCTTACATACTTTGAAGTTTGACTTTATATTATTCCAAAAATTATCAATATATTATAAAAAGATAAAATCATGAGACAAAATTATCTTATTACAATTTATAAAAATACAAAAGAATAACAAAAAGGAAATGCCAAAACATTAGTTATTTGAAAATTATTTTTAATTTTGGTTCAGAAAGAAAATGGAAATAGCCAATCACCTAAAAAACAAAGTATTTTTGTAAATAATAAAGAAAGAAAAATCTATGACTTCATATGCTGATTTTGTAGAAAATAAAGCCACTGTGTTAATTAATTATCCAACACAAAAAACTAGAGTCAAACAAAACAAACCTAAAGAAATAAAAAATAAAGATAAAAACAGAAAATAATATATTTGGGAAAAAAATGGAAAACTAATAAATTAATTCCAGGGGTATTTCCTCAAAAAAAGCAAACAAGCAGTAAAACAGTTAAGCTTATATTTAACCTAATTGTGAAAAAAGAGAGAAGATGCAAACACACACAAAGACATACATTTGAAGAAATCATTACAGATGGAGAAGAAATTAAAATAATAACATAGTTTACTGAAATCAATGCAATTAAATTTGGTAATCTGGAAAAAAATAGAGGCTATACTAGGAAAATAATTTCTAAAATTGATCACTAAAAAAAGAAAGATACAAAAAAATTGTGTAACATTTTTTGAATGAGATAAATAACAGAGCTGCTCTATAGACATGATAGGAGACAGATAGGTGGGTAGGTGAAGTCCATCATAACTTTGGTGGAACAAATAGCTCTAACTATCTAAAATGCTCTGGAGCAAATAAGAAAAGGGAAGATTCCAAATTGTGTCTATGAATTGAATATAGCATATATCACAAAACTGTACAAAAACAATGTATTAGTCCATTCTCACACTGCTGTAAAGAAATACCTGAAACTGGGTAATTTATAAAGAGGTTTAATTGGTCCACAGTTCTGCAGGCTGTACAGGAAGCATGGTTGGGGAGGCCTCAGGAAACTTACAATCATGGCAGAAACTGAAGAGGAGGCAGGCATGCCTTACTTGGCAGGAACAGGAGAAAGAGATGCTACATACTTTTAAACTACCAGATCTTGTGAAAACTCACTCACCATCACAAAAACAGCAAGGGGGAAATACGCCCCCATGATCCAGTCACTTCCCACCAGGCACCTCCTCCAACACTGGGGATGAATATTCAGACATGAGATTTGGGCAGACACACAGATCCAAACCATATCAAAACAGAAAAAAAAGCCAGGGGGGATACCCAACCAATCACATATAATAATATCAATGCAAAATATTGGCCTATAGAGTTAACTAGAATATTTTCCAGAAATGAAAATTTGTTTCAGTGTTACAAACTCTCTTAATATTATTCATTGTATGAATAGTGTGGCAGGTTGTGTAGACTGTCTCTCTCAATAGCCATTTAAGCCCCCTTGGGGTATGCTTTTCTTGTACTGCAGAGGCTGAAATTCTAAAATCTGCATTTCTGAGTTGCACTTGCATCTGGGAAGCTGGGTGTGATTTAGGTTCTGCCGATCAGGCAGGCAAATCAGACTTTAAGGCTTGAAGTTAAAACTGAGTTAAGAGGAAGAGAGGCAGGGAGTGAGGATCTCATTTGTGATACGAATTCAGGTGCAGCCCTTTGGACCTGTAGTCAAGCTCCCTGATTCAGCAACTTCAGTAACAATGGCAGCTGCTTTCTAGATGAGGGCAGTGAGTATGACATGAAAGGAAGTTAAACCTGGAGCCAGTTACTACAGCTCTTAAAAAGATTTTGAAAGACATAAAATATCTTTTAAGAAATCTTTTTCTGCTTAAACTAGCTGGAGAGATATTTGTTGTCTACCATTTATAAACAGGTCAAAAAAAAAAAGAACATATGACCGGCCACCTTGATGTCAAAAAGATTTTTATAAAATTCAATTACTTTCTTATTAGAAACAGCATGGTACTGGTATCAAAACAGAGATATAGATCAATGGAACAGAACAGAGCCCTCAGAAATAACGCCACATATCTACAACTATCTGATCTTTGACAAACCTGAGAAAAACAAGCAATGGGGAAAGGATTCCCTATTTAATAAATGGTGCTGGGAAAACTGGCTAGCCATATGTAGAAAGCTGAAACTGGATCCCTTCCTTACATTTTATACAAAAATTAATTCAAGATGGATTAAAGACTTAAACGTTAGACCTAAAACCATTAAAACCCTAGAAGAAAACCTAGGCATTACCATTCAGGACATAGGCATGGGCAAGGACTTCATGTCTAAAACACCAAAAGCAATGGCAACAAAAGCCAAAATTGACAAATGGGATCTAATTAAACTAAAGAGCTTCTGCACAGCAAAAGAAACTACCATCAGAGTGAACAGGCAACCTACAAAATGGGAGAAAATTTTCACAACCTACTCATCTGGCAAAGGGCTAATATCCAGAATCTACAATGAACTCAAACAAATTTACAAGAAAAAAACAAACAACCCCATCAAAAAGTGGGAGAAGGACATGAACAGACACTTCTCAAAAGAAGACATTTATGTAGCCAACAGACACATGAAAAAATGCTCATCATCACTGGCCATCAGAGAAATGCAAATCAAAACCACAATGAGATACCATCTCACACCAGTTAGAATGGCAATCATTAAAAAGTCAGGAAACAACAGGTGCTGGAGAGGATGTGGAGAAATAGGAACACTTTTACACTGTTGGTGGGACTGTAAACTAGTTCAACCATTGTGGAAGTCAGTGTGGCGATTCCTCAGGGATCTAGAAATAGAAATACCATTTGACCCAGCCATCCCATTACTGGGTATATACCCAAAGGACTATAAATCATGCTGCTATAAAGACACATGCACACGTATGTTTATTGTGGCACTATTCACAATAGGAAAGACTTGGAACCAAGCCAAATGTCCAACAATGATAGACTGGATTAAGAAAATGTGGCACATATACACCATGGAATACTATGCAGCCATAAAAAATGATGAGTTCATGTCCTTTGTAGGGACATGGATGAAATTGGAAATCATCATTCTCAGTAAACTATCGCAAGGACAAAAAACCAAACACCACATGTTCTCACTCATAGATGGGAATTGAACAATGAGTACACATGGACACAGGAAGGGGAACATCACACTCTGGGGACTGTTGTGGGGTGGGGGGAGGGGGGAGGGATAGCATTAGGAGATATACCTAATGCTAAATGACGAGTTAATGGGTGCAGCATGCCAGCATGGCACATGTATACATATGTAACTAACCTGCACATTGTGCACATGTACCCTAAAACTTAAAGTATAATAATAATAATAATAATAATAATAATAATAAAAGAATTTGTAAACAAAATTGTAATATAGGCAGATACTTTCTTAATGTAATAAAATATGTTTTTAAAACAAGTTGATATTATGCTTGCTAGATGAACACAAAGCATTCCCATTAAAGTACAAAGTTGCACAAAGTTGCACATCCTCACCAGTATTTTTAAAGGTATTTTTGCTGGCAGTCCCAACCAATATAATTAGAGAGGTGAATGGAAAAAGAAGTATAACAATTGAAGAGAGGAACAATTTTTTATCATGATTATGACTAGAAAATTCAAGAGAACAACTAAAATTACTTGAAAAAATAGGTTATATAATGGTTAAATTAATATACATAAGTCAAGCTTTTTTGTTTACAAATAATCACACAGAAAAAAATGAGAAGAAATCTTATTTATAAGACACCAAAGACAAAAAAGCCAAAACAAAAGAGAACTTTAATGTAATAAGCAATGTGTCATTCTCATCCAAAGATAACTTTAAAACTCCAAGAAACATAAAAGACGACTTAATTTCTTACTATATATGAACACAGTTTTTTAAAGACATCTAAACTATGAATCTACACATTTTATATGGTTCCAATGAAAATAACATGAGTATTCAATATCCATTTATTGAAATTAGTTAACTGATTTAAAAATTTAAAATGCAAAGTAAGCATGCAAGAAAAGCCATAAAAATTCTAAAATGTTAGAAATGAGATAATTTATGACTATAGCTACCAGCTATTAAAACATACTTGGCAGCTACAGTCATTAAAATAATATGTTATGGTGTCATGATTAGATGGAGAGTTTTCAGAAATAGTCTTAATCAAATGTCAGCAATTAGTATATGACAAAAATGGCATAGCAAAATAGGAAGAAAAGATGTTTTTTGTTTTTAATAATTTGATAGATGGAAGATTTTAATGTTTAAAAATAACTGTAAAAGTGCTGGAACAAAAAAGAGGGAAAACTTGCATCCAATATTGCATTAAGAAATTCATATTAAGATGACGAAATACACAAAAGCCATAAAGAAAATTACTGATAATTTCAAATAAATAAAACTTTTATGTAGTAATGATATGCTAACAATATTATAAACCAAGTACAAAGTGAAATAGAAAAATGAGAAAATATAAAATTACAACACATTAGTCAAAGTCCTTATTTACATTTTTTCATGAAAGCTTTAAGATATAATGCACATGCCATACTATTACTGATTTAAAATGCACAATGCAATGGCAGCTAATATATTCACAATCAATTTTAGAATATTTTCATCATTCTAAGAGAAGTCTTGTATTCACTAGCAGTATCCCCATTTCACCCTAGCACCCTGCTCTCAGACCTAGGCAACCTACATTCTGTATCCATAGATTTGCCTATGTTATCTTTTGTAATTTGCTTCTTTCACTTAGCATAATGTTTTTCAGGTTCATTTATGTCGTATTGTACCATGTATCAGTACTTCATTTCTTTTTAGTGATTAATAATATTCTATTGTATGTATATTTATCCATTATCAGTTGATGAACATTTAAATTGTTTTCACTTTTAGCTATTATGAATAATGCTGCTAAGAACACATGTATGTACAAGTTTTTATGTGGACATGTTTTTATATATCTTGGGTATATACTAGAAGCAAATCACTGGGTCATATGTAAATTATTTTTAAATAATTGAGGAAGTAACAGACTGTTTTCCAAAGTGGCTTCACCATTTTATATTTCCAATCAAGGTGTAGGAGGGTTTGAATTTCTTCATATATTTGAAAACAGTTGTTATTATTTTACTCACATTACATATAGATAATATGTTATATGTATATATGTAAGCCCATGAGATAGTGGGTATGAAGCGTTAGCTCACTGTGGTTTTGGTTTGCATTTCTCTAATAGCTAATGATTATGAGAATCTTTTCATGTGTTTATTATCCATTTGTATATCTTCTTTGAAGAAATATCTATTCAGATGTCTGCCCACTTTAAATTCTGTTTTCTTTTTGCATTGAGTTGCAAGAATTCTTCAAATTTTCTGGATACTTGTCCTTTAACAGATTTATGGTTTGCAAATATTTTCACCCATTCTCCGTGTTGTCTTTTCACTTTCTTGAAAGTGTCCTTTGAATCTGGTATTCCAGTCTTTCCTTTTCCAGCTTAGAACTAATACCCTACTAGGACTTGGGCTGAGAGCAATCAGAGTCCAGCATTTTGGGCTTGCCATGCCTGGAATAGAGCCTCTAGTCTATGCATGGGGAACAAATGAAAGAAGGGAGCCCCCAACCTCTTGGCCATATTTATCAGAATTTTGCCAGCAACTGAGAAATGCTGGTGGTCTGCTTCCCCAGGGTGAGATACTGTATCACTAGATCAGGAGCTGAAGGCACATGTGGCCTCCCCTTTTTGGCCACACCACCAGGCCAGGAATTTCCATTATGCTGATGAACTGGGAGGTGGAGGCTGGGAGGGAATGAGTGGGTCATGGCTCAAGGGCCACAGACTCTGACTCTTTTCAAATATTTGGTAGAATTTTTTCCAAGTAAATGTTTCTACGTCTGCTATTTGTGCCTAAATTTCCAGAGATTTTAATTGGGTTTTTTAATCAATTAAAATTTAATTGGTTTATTTTTATCAATTATTATTCTTTTACTGGGGACAGGTCCATAGGATTCCTAATACCACTGTTCAGGAAATAAAACTGTGCTAAAAGTTCCATTTAAAAAAAGAATTTTAGGTATGTATGTATTTATTATTTAATAAATAGGCTCTCACTATGTCACACAGGCTGGTCTCAATCTCCTGGGTTCTAGTGATCCACCAGCCTCAGTCTCCCAAAGCATTGGGATTACAGGCATGAGCCACCACACTGAGCAAAAAGGATTTTAGAAATTAAAAAAAAAAAGCAACATTTATTTATTTATTTATTTATTTTATTTTTTAATTTTTAATTTTTTTTGAGATGGAGTCTTGCTCTGTTGCCCAGGCTGGAATGCAGTGGCACAATCTCGGCTCACTGCAACCTCCACCTCCGGGGTTCAACCAATTCTCCTGCCTTAGCCTCTCGAGTAGCTGGGACCACAGGTGCATGCCACCACACTGGGCTAACTTTTTTGTATTTTGTTTAGTAGAGACAGTGTTTCACCATGTTAGCCAGGATGGTCTCAATTTCCTGACCTCGTGATCCACCCACCTCAGCCTCCCAAAGTGCTGGGATTACAGGCGTGACCCACCATGCCTAGCTGCAACATTTATTTTTAATATGGCCATTCTACCTATTATATTTGAATCACAGAATGTTAGAAAGAACTTTCTGAAATCATTAATTACAATTCTTCATTTTACAAATAGGGGAGATATCTATTCCTTTTGAATAGATAAAAGATTTTGCCAAGCATTGCAACTCACTGCCAGAACCAGTAAGGGCTCCTGTGCCACTTGACTTATGTTTTTAATGTCAACTTAGGAAAGAAGTCTTTATATAACAAAGGCCCTAGGAGGCACTTGTTATATATCCAGGCAGGAGTGACAAACATTATCATTGCTTTATTCCCTTGTGTTTCATACCTTCATCTTGTGCAGCAAGATTCTGTTTTCTTCTCATATAATGTTATGTGCTATGATGAGAGGAAAGCAAGGTGTTCAGGATAAGGATGAGAATGGATAGGAGAGGGGATGGGCCATTGTTGCTGTATTAGCAGCACTGGCATCTTCGTTGGCAGCATATCTGATATTTTTCAAAGGGCTGTTTTTGAGAGACAATATTTGGTAAGCCCGTCCTACTGAGAACATAAAGGAAATGATCTTAAAAATAAATTTTAGTTATCTGAAATATTTGCTGTCATTACTTTTTCTGTCATCCAAATTAATTTTGTGTTTTCAACATGTTTGGTGTACTGAAAATCTTTTTGGATCCACAAAAGATATCTTGGTTTGACTAATAGTCTAAGAATAATTTTAAAAAGTACTGGCAAGATTGATATGCTAGGGATTTAAATACACCTGTCACTGAAATTAAATTGCTGGCTATAGATAAATATACTAAAAAACATCCACCAGATTTCCAAGTATTTTACCAACCCACTTTTAACAGTCTCACATCTACCCTCTCCCACTGTTGCCCATGGGCTAAAAGAACACAGGCATATGACTGCAGGTGAAAAAAGCTACAAAACCTTCCCATTCTCCAATTCTCTGCCTTTCTCAGCCAGATAAAATGCCCAGTTGGCTGACTTTGAGGTCAAATTGCAAACCTCTTTATGTAAAATATCTCTTTTAGCCTAGCAGTTTTAATATGTTATTTTTTTTCAGTTTTGAGTTGCTGCTAAGTCTTGATTTACTTGATTCTTGATGTAGTTTTTGAAAAGACATAATAAAAAAGCCACTAAAATGTCACATCAAAGAGGTAGGATGGGATAAGATAAAATAACAATAAAATGCATCTAAAGAAAATGCATTATTTGAAAGAAGGAAGACAGAAAATAGGAAATAAAAAAGGATATAAATATAAAAAGGGAGAACATGAGTAAGAACAAAGTAGACAATAGGTACAATAAAAACTATGAATGAGAAAAATAAAATTTAAAATAAAATAAATAATAAGCGAATAAAATAATGGGAAAGACTTAAACCTTATAATTAAACAGTTTTAACTGCTAATTTCATATTTCCCTGTGCAATTATTTCTACTCTCATTAGCCATCATTGTTGATGTTATTTTTTTATTTGTTTTAGGTTGGAACACAAAGACTTGCAGGATTGAGTAACACCTCATGCCTTTGGGATAACTTTGTGTTATCATTCCAAACATCAAAATAATATCCATTGCACATTCACTATTAGTCAAGCAAAGCTTTCATAGGAAAATTATGTAGTTAATTCAGTATTAACTCAGATGTTAAAACACATAAGAAGGAATTTTCTTAAATATTCCGATCATATTAACCGCCTATTTCTCCCACCACCAATTCTAAAGTACGCCAAGGCATGGATCTGTTATTGAATCAAAGGAACATCTTTAAAAGGTAAAGGGTAAATATTAATAAAATCTGGATAGAAGCCTGAGAGACTCAGCTGTCTTGGAGCATGATCTTTCTGAAGTTTCTTTTGGCTTCTAAGAGAATTCTCCTACAGGATTTTCAAGAATAACTGTGCCACTGCTGTGTCTTCTATATTAAGGCATCTCTGGATATGTGAGTTGCCACTGAACTATTCCCAAAGACTGTCCTGTTGACAGGTCAGCAGAATGTGGTTATTGGGTTTTCCTGCCTGCGACAGATTGGGAGACACAAATTAGAAAGCAGGGAACAACAGCTCAAAGCACACACACTTGCTCATGAATAAGGGATGGCTGATCATCAACAAGGAGAGAACACTCTCCCAGAAAGTAAAAATGGCTCAAAATTTTGTTTAAGTGTAGAACCCTGGATGCAGTGAAACATAGGTAATGATAGATTGATAGATAGATAGATAGATAGATAGATAGATAGATAGATAGATACATAGATAGATACATAGATACATAGATAGATAACAGTTACCTCCAGAAATGTCTCTGTAGGACACACAGTATATTAAGGAAGCTGGTTCATAAAGTTCATCCATGGAGTAACTGTTTTATCAACTCTAAACCCTGCTGTATCACCTCCTGCACTATTACCTATAGCTTTAATACTTTCCAAATTCTAAACTAGAAGGTTTGGTTTGGTTCATCCTAAACTTGCATAATGGGGACTTGAGAAGCCAACCTTTCTCTCTCCATTCTCACCTTTCACTGGGGGTTTATGTTCCTCAATGGTGACTGGCCTGGCCATGTGTTCAGTGCTCCAGATCCTCTGAGATCTGCCTCATTCTCCAGTTTTCCCTGGTGTTTGATCCTTTCTGGTGGCTCAATCCCTACTCTTTCTAGTCAGAACTACCTTGTGTCACAGTCTTCTTTACCTGGATTTCAGACTCCTCTGTCTGTCATTGCAGGCTGCTCACTGTGGCTCTTCACTGACCCCCACAGGCTCTTTGCCCCTTCTTCCCTCTCTGCCTGGGGACAGCCACACTCATTCTTCTGCCAGGGCTCTGTCTGATGTCAGGCCTCTGGTTGTCTCATCCTGCCTCTGCCCAAGCCAGGATGATAATACTCTGAGACCACTGGAAACAGCTCAAGGTCAATCAATTTGCTCAGTTTTAGAAGATAAAGATGATAGAAAACATTTACATAAACTGTCATTAATAAATATTACAGAAAACATGAGGTCAATGAATTTCCAGATGTCTATAAAAGCAGCTCATGTACAAAACCTCATTTTTGAAACAGCAGATACAAGTAAATGCACATATTTGTCATTTTTCCATTTGGCACAAATATACTTAAGATGAGCATTTTAAGATAAACTCAGTGCTAGGTTCTGGGGGACATGAATGTCAATCTAGCCCAATCTCTTCTCAGGGTCTGTGGGAGGAGAGTTGTTTCTGCTTATGGAAATGGAAAGAATATTACCAGAAGCAAAAGTCTCAGTGTGCACATTAGAAAAATAATATCTCTTACATCCAACTCAACATCAGTGTGAAATACGGAGAGGTTACACCTCTAAGTAAAATAGACCAGATCCTTTTCCACATGAAATACTTTCACTCTTCAGTGTGGGCTTAAAGACAAGGTCTTTCAGGTGAAGGCTGGTAAACATTCAGGTCATCCTGCCACTTTTGGCTATGCCCTTAGGCTGTACCAAAGTTTAAAGGATTTGTCAAAACCTCATTGGCAGCTGCACCCCTGTGACTGCCTAAATAGGTCTGTGCTCTGCATAGCAGCCTAATGCAAGTTCCAAGCACCTTTATATTATTAGAGCCATGTGTCTTGTCAGGAAAGCAGCAGCAGACAAAAGACCCTGTGATCCTGTTCCTTTTCCATCTCTCTTCATTTTATTGTGCAAAATAGTACCCTTCAGTCCCCAGTGCTCATGTGTTATGATGACATATTGAGAGGAAAATTTATTACAAAGCCACTCATAGGCAGAATATAGGGAAATTTCCCCCATATTTTGAAGAAAGTGCATCAAAGAAGAGGTTTTTTTCTGTATCAATTTTCTTTATTTTATTGCTACATTCTCATGATTGGAGGGCCACCAGCAAATCTCTCTTTTGTTCAGAGGCAGCATTCTGCCTGAGAAAATGGAGGTGTGAGATCCACATCATATAACCAAGGCAACCAATTAATCAAAAATATTCTGACAGGAAAATAAAGTCAACTATTTTGTGCTATTAATCATAGAACAAATATAAATAAAACCAGGGTCCATTGTCAGTAATTCTTGTATTGACATAAAAGAGAAAAACAAGTGAATTAAATAACTTAAACTCTTCATAAATGCAGTAATATAGAAAATAGCATCCATGCCTCATAAGTAAATTTTGACAAATTTGCAAGCACTATTTTGAGCTGCTTCTAAAGTATATAATTTTCTGTATTTTTAACACACTTTCTGGTGGGCCATGACACAATAATAAGATGCGTAAACATCAGATAGATACAGAGCATGGCATAACACCATACTGCTATGTCCTCTACTGGTGAGACATATAGTCATCAATCAATTGACTGGTGATCAACAAGTTGATAGATTTGGTATGTACCTGATGCCAGGCACTGAACCACTTATACCATGACCCAACAGGAATAGTGCTACCAGCTAGGCAGAATTTTGCCTCTATTAGAAATAGGATTTCTGTGCCCATGGCTGCTTGACATGTCTGCCATCACCAGGTAGATTTTTAATTCTATCCAGGTTGTGTATATCCTATGAAGACAAACATCAATTCCATCAAGCAAGAAGAACTATTTTAGCTGGAAGATAAGGTTTATTCACTGGCCCAGCATGAGTAGTAGTTTTTTTCTAGTTTGCATTATGACTTATGCATTAAAAATGATTGGCATTCATGGTCTTAAATTAAAATGAATTAATATACACAAAATTGTCTCATACACTCTAAAGCTTTGCAGATTAAAAACATTTATATCTTCTTAATGGTGGTTTTTATAGGAAAGAAAATATAAAAGAAATGGGCTATGGTCATTATTGATAGTCATTCAATCATTACATTACCAACAGTCAGTTATATAGTAGCCTAATAAAAATAACAAGCTTATGGGTCCCGCTTGGAAAAGAAGACTTGCTAGCTGTCTTACATCTGTGAAGGTACATAGATTTATCTCCAGGAGGCTGTGGAGTAACCTTGGAAGACAGGTATTAATGGCAGAGCCATCTGGCCATTAATAAATAAGAAATACACTTTTATTTTTATTGTTTATTTTAGTTAGGAAAAAGTTTGATTTAATTTGATTGTCTGGATATTCAAATCTTTGATGAAGCAGTTTAGCCAATGTTTTCACTAATATAATTTCTAATCTGCCATCTATATATTTATTTAGATGTTTATTCTAAAAAATATACATAATGTTGCTTTATATATAGTTTTTTAAATACGTGAAGTTTATTGTGCCATAGACTTCATTCTATTTCTGTCTGTTTACTCCAAACAACACTACGATAAACATTCTTGTACCTTTCTCAGTGTATATCTTCAAGAGTTTCGGGGCTTTGTTTAAAATAAAGATACAACTGCAATATATCTACATAAAAAACCTCACTAAGACACCGCTAAGTAACTCTTCTGAATTTCCTCACTAGTTATTATGTCACCAGCGGTGAATAGTCTTTCTTGCCAACATTCTTGCCAGTACTTGATATTATCCAATTTTACAATTTTTGTCAAATCTGGTTGTTGAAAATTGGTGTCTACTGCTGCTATTGTACATTACATCTTATTCTTGCTTTTTTTAAAATTTACTCCATTGCTCTTTTTCTTCTTGATATGAACATTTAGTTAATTTATGTTTTCAATCATTTTTGATACCTAAAAATTATGAAATCTATCAACTTTTTATAAATGCTACATTAACTCTATTTCACACATTTTGACATATGAAGTTTTTGTGGGGAGGAGGGTACCAATCACTTCAAGCATTTATCCTTTCTTTGTGTTAACAAACATCCAGTTATACTCTTATAGTTGTCTTTAAATGCACAATAAATTGTTGAGTGTAGTCACTGTGTTGTACTTTCAAACACTAGATCTTCTTCATTCCATTTATATTTTTGTACCCATTAATCATCCCACTTCTCCCCACCTTCACAACCCTTCCAAGCCTCTGGTAACTATCCTTCTGTTCTGTATCTCCATAAATTCAATTGTTTTAATTTTTGGCTCCTGCTATTAAGTGAGAACATGCAAAGTTTGTCTTCCTGTGCCTAGCTTATTTCTTTTAACATAATGTCCTCCAGTTCCATCCATGTTGTTGCAAATGACAGGATCTCATTCTTTCTTTTGGCTGAATAGTATTCCACTGTATATATGTACCATATTTTCATTATCCATTCAAATCTTGGCTATTGTGAATACTGCTGCAATAAACATGGTATTGCAGATATCTCTTTGATATACTGATTTTCTTTGAGTATATGTAGCAGTGGGATTATTGGCTCATATGGTAGCTCTATTGTTGGTTTTTTGATGAGCCTCCAAAGAATTCTCCATAGTGGTTGTGCTAATTTACGTTCCCTTCAACAATGTATGAGCATTCTCTTTTCTCCACATCCTTGCCAGGATTCATTATTGCCTATCTTTTGGATGAAAGCCATTTTAACTGGGGTGAGATGACATCTCATTGTAGTTTTTATTTGCATTTCTCCGATGATCAATTGTGTTGAGCACCTTTTCATACACCTGTTTGCCATTCATATTAACATACTAAGTTTTTTTGTTTGTTTGTGTTTGTTTTGTTTGTTTGTTTGTTTGTTTTTTGAGACGGAGTCTCGCTCTGTCGCCCAGGCTGGAGTACAGTGGTGCGGTCTCAGCTCACTGCAAGCTCTGCCTCCCAGGTTCAAGCGATTCTCCTGCCTCAGTCTCCCGAGTAGCTGGGACTACAGGCGCCCGCCACCACGCCCGGCTAATTTTTGTATTTTTAGTGGAGACGGGGTTTCACCGTGTTAGCCAGGATGGTCTCGATCTCCTGACCTCATGATCCGCCCGCTTCGGCCTCCCAAAGTGCTGGGATTACAGGCGTGAGCCACCGCGCCCAGCCCGACATACTAAGTTTTTATAGCTATCCATTTGTTACCCATTCTGGTTAGGGAATCTAACCTATGTGATAGTAATCTTAGAAATTATTGGGGCTTTTGGGAGAACTAGTACATTATCAATATTTGAGACTATTCTGTGTGTGTTTTAAAAGAATATGAAGTCTGTATTTGTTGTAAAGATATATTTGTATATAGGTGTATATATGCTCAGAACTTTACTGATCTTGCTATTCAATTTTCTGTACTTCTACATATATCAAATTTGTTTAATCTATTAAACTCTGAGTGAGGCCTCTAAAAATTTCTAACTCATATTTATTACATACCCCTTCTAAAATGAGAATCAGTATGGTTAGTTGCATCACAGCTAGAGAGCAGCACAAAGAGCAGAAAGTCCAGAATTTAAAAGCTAAGCTTATACTTGACAATATTTTTCATATTAATGTAATTTCTTCCTAAATATTTTAAAATATTTCTTATGAAACATACTTAAGGATCTCTTTAACTGCCCCTTTGGGAAGATGGGGAGATGGCTATTGCTAGCTATTCTGTTTTGACTACCACTATTTAATAAATGAATTTTAAATGTATTATTTAATTAAGAAGTATTCTCTGTGCAGACCCACTTACTAAAAAATAAAGTAATACCTTTATTTTTAAAACATTATTGATATGGTTTAATAAGAAAGAGTTTAAAAATAGATTATACATTAAAGTATGTCTTTATATTCATTTCTTCTTTGCATTTTTCGACCAATTCCCTATAAATTACGGCCACTTCATGGTAAAGAAACCTTAATTAAAATACCAAGTGCAAAGGAAGGACAGGATTTGGATGACATATGTGAATGCAAATGAAAAGTACTCTATAGGGAAAGTGAGACTTCATTGAAGGTGACATGCTTATGGAAAAAAAGATGTGCTGAGCAAGCACCTTAGCTGAACAAGCAACTTGGGGCAGTGCCATAAGCTGCAGGCATTTTAGTAAAAAATACATTAAAAACGTAATTGGGAAAGGCTTGGTTAATCAGACCCCAAACAGCATCAATCTTTAGAACTACAAAGCTAGAGGAAAACAAAATGACAATCAATAAGAAATGGTGATAATGCAAAATCAACAATAAATATACACATAAGAAGAGGCGTACCTTGTTTTAACATTTGGGTAAATAACATTATAAAAGTCTCCTTTTAAGTTAAATGTATACAGACATAAATTTTTCCATTTCACATTTAGATAGAGGCTTGTGTGCTCCTCCAAGTGTGTGTATACAAGAGAAACAGACATGTAACCACAATCTAAACTGTCTTAAGTACAAATTGGTGTTCTGTAGCACTCAGATTTTGTAAGATATTCTAATGGAATCTCAGTCTTCTCTACCACAGAAATAGGAATGTGGAGGGGAAAAAAAACAACAGTCCAAGAAGCCTTCCAGAAGAAAAATTTCTATCCTCATTAGATTTTTTCTCCAGGCTAATTAAATCTTGTTACAATCAAAGCAAAAACAAAAAAGAAACCATTATTGTTTTCAAAAGTAAGATGGAACATATGTAAATCCAAAAAAAAAAAAAACCGTGATAGGGTGAAGATTCAAAAAAAGGAGAGCTTTTCCCTTCAGTTTACTTAAATAGTACCTAGTTTAGAGGTAAATACTCTCAATTTCTCTCCATTTTGGAAAATGATCAAGTCACAAATGTAATTTACATAACCATAGGCCTTGTCAAACACAGACCACTTGAGAAAATCGAGGCTCTCACTGTAATTTCTGGCTGACAGTTTAGCCTCTTTATATTTCCTTTCTCAGACATTGGTGGATTTGAACAGCGCTTATATAAAAGGCAAATTCCAAAGGTGACCATGCCTAAGGTGACCAAGCACGTGGTTGAATAGCTGTAACTGAGGTAGCTCAAGAATAAATTATTTCTCCAAAAGCTAGAGTAGCGTAACATTCCCATAATCTAATTGTGTCCTCACTCTCTCAAATACAAGATTATCTAAGCCATCTATTCTAACAATTTACTCATTCAACAAATATTTATTGAGCCTCTACTGTATTCAGGCACTGTAATAGATTGTAGGGATACAGCAGTTTTTTAAAAGTACAAAATCAAAGCCCTCATGGAAGATATATTCTAGTGGGATATAGACAATAAATGAGAAAAATGTGTAGCATATTAAGAGGTGATAATTGTTGAAGAAAAATATAAAGCAAAGAACAGGAACAGAGAATGGTGTGGTGGCAGAAATTTAATTTTAAAAATTATAATAATAAGGATATAAAATATAGTTGGTGAAGCCAAAAAAATTAAGAAATAAAGCAAGATAAGTGAAAGAATAAATATGGCTAAAGAATGAGCCAGTGAGTTAAGAGACTGGATTATGAAATTCTCTCATAAAATGGTAGTAAAGGATAAAATGGAAATATAATTAAGACATAGATAGAACAAATGTGGATATGTCTATATTTGCATAGTAAAAGTCCCAGAGGAGGAAAAAATCAAAATGAGAAGCAGAAAATATTTGAAAAATAATAAAGATAAACTTTTCTCAAACAGAAAGGAGTCATAATTTAACCAATTTTCACTACCTTCACTGCTGCTATCCTAATCAAAGCCATCACCTCTGTCCTAAATACCTGTAGTAGCCTCCTAGTAGCTTCCACTCTTGCTCTCTTGCAGTCTAGTCTCATCAAAGTAGCCAGAGGAAACTTTTACAATTGTAAATCACACAACATATGATTCTTCTCTCAAAACTCTGCAATGGCCATTCTGATTAAAAGTCAAAATTCTTATATGCAACTAGAGTCTAGATCTTGGTTTCTAATACCATTCTCCTAGCAAAACATAGGGCCCTTGGGAGAAATGGCTGATTCTAGGACTGGGACAGGAAATAAACAAGATGGGCTTGCAGCATCTTCTAGTGCCAAAAAGCATGGAAATATGCAAAATAAACACAACAATGGGTGTATGTCAAAGCAACATTGAAGCCAATTGAAAGAGCTTTTAAAGGCCAAATTTAGAACATTATGAGCACAAAATATATATTAGTATTGTAGTATAACCTAAAGTTTAAAAATGATCCATGAGTTCATATTGATGCAAATAAATGTTTAAATAAATAAATACATGAGAAAGAATAAATCAGTCACTCATGCCAAATTCCAAATAATTCAGGCCCATGATTGAGTCTGAAATTCTACCACTTACGTCAGATGATGAAGTTCTGCTCTGCCTGCCCAAATTTATGGTTTGGTGGATCAGATAACACTCAGTTCATGATGAACAGATCATGTTACAGGGTAACTTGGTGGCCCATGGTTAACTAGTAAAGTCTAGTAGCAGGCCAAGAGCTGTTTCTCAAAAGAGGAGTAGCTACACACAGAAGATGGCAGATCTTTGCTCCAAAATCCTAAGGGCTTGCATTACAATTCACACATACAGGCCTCCCAATACAATACCTATAGAGCAAAAGTCAAATGCTGACAAGCACCAAGGGCAAGGTGAGTACAGCAGAGGTGAGTATAGCAAATGTGATGGACAGCAGAGTCAAAGCAGCAATTAAAATAGTTCAACAGGATGCTCTAAACAGCATTCCTGTCAGCAATTAACACTTCCAGCACCGATAGATCTGCTGGATCATATGGTCCAAGTGGCAAAGCAGCTTGCACAGCAACCTGAATCTGTTGCAGAGCCTTCTTTTTTCCTAACCCCCACTCAAAACTAGCAGCTTTTTGAGTCACTCAATAAATCAGCTGGGGTAACATACCCAAATAAGGAGTACATGGCCTGTAAAATCTAGAAGCCCTCTAAGCATTGTACCACTTTTTCTGGTTGTAGGAGGAGCCAAATTCAATAACTTTTTTTAGAAGGGGTATCTCTACCTGCTCCACATCACTGGACCTCCAGAAATTTCACTGAAGTAGAAGGCCCCTGATCTTGGTTGAATATGTTTCTTACTCTATCTTCACAAATGTCTTACCAATGAGTCTAAAATGGTTGCCACTTCTTACTCACTAAGTCCAATTAGCATAATATCATCAATATAACATACCATTGTGTTATCTGGTGGAAGAGAAGGCAATCAAAATCCCTGCAAACTAAATTATGATGTAAGGCAGAAGAGTTGACATAATCCTGAGGTAGGATGGTGAATGAATGCTACTGGCCTTGCCAGTTGCTGCAAACTGATTCTGAAAGTCTCTACGGACTGAGATGGAGAAAAAGGCATTTGCCAGATTAATAGCTGCATATGAGGTACCAGGAGAAGTGCTCATTTGTTCAAGCAATAAAACTACATCTGGTACAGCAGCTTCAATTTGAGTCACTACCTGGTTAAGCTTACAATAATCCGTTAGCATTCTCCAAGATCCATATGTCTGTTCTGCAGGCCAAATAGGCAACTTACATGGAAATGTGGTTGAACTACCACCTTTTGCATCTTTCAAGTTGTTGATAGTGGCACTAATCTCTGCAATCCCTCTAGGAGTATAGTATTGTCTGTGGTTTACTATTTTCGTATGTAGAGGCAGTTCTAGTGGCTTCCATTTGGCCTTTCCCACCAAAATAGCCTTTATTTCACATGTCAGTGAGCCAGTGTGGGTATTCCTCCAGCTGCTGAACCTATCTATTCCAATTATGCATTCTAGAACCAGAGAAATAACCAAAGGATGGGTTTAGTGACCCACTAGGTTACTATAAGACAGACCTGATCTAAAACTCCATTGAGCACCTGACCTTCAAAAGCCCCCACTGTAACTGGTAGACCACACTAATGTCTTGGGTCTCTGAAATTAGTGTCAGTTCAGATCCAGTAGTTCCCAAAAGGTCTGATAATTTTCCTTTCCTCGGTACACAATTACTCCAGTAAAAGACTGTAGGTCCTTCTGTGGAAGTCTGGGAGAAAGATTAACAGTAAAAGTTTGGCGGGGGGGGTCTTTCTTCAAGAAGCCTCAGATTCCAGTTCATTCAAGTTGTTCTGGGTCTTTAAACTGGCTCAAGTCTGGAAATTCATTGAGGATCTGTGACTCTCAACTCTAATTTTTTGACTCAGGTTAGACTCATGGTCACTTAACTAGGAATTTGCTGCTTCTACAGATGAAGTAAGGATTTGGTAGGCTTCCTATTTAAATTCTAGGAATAACATGATTAACTAGCCAACATCATACACAGTTCTGTGTAAATTGAACTATATTGATTGCTGCTTTGACTCTGCTGTTCATTACATTAACACACTGCCTTTGCAGGTTGAGTTTCAGCACTTGACCCTTGCTACCCCAGAATAGGTACCCCCAATGCATTTAGATACCCCAGATCAGTACCTGCAATTCCCTCTGTAAGCTATGGCCTACAGAAAAGAGCAATCACAGAGCTCTTTAAGGATTTCAGGCTCCCCTTACAAATTTATTTCCCACGGTATTAATGAAAGGTATGTCTTCTAGACCCTTTCAGGCTGGGTGAGTATGTTTTAAATCACGAATCCATTCTGACATTTTAATCTTTTAAAGGTTTTGAATCCCTTTTTCTACATTAGAACAGGGCAGATTCAGCATTTCCAACCCACTCACTGTGGGCCACCTTTTGGTCCCCAACCAAACAAATAAATTGTTGAAGTCCTTTTTAACTACCTGAACTGCAACATTAAATCCAGAACTGTTGCTTAATTAGCCCACATTAATAAATTCAGCCTGATGCAACTTTTTGTTTCTTCCACCATTGTCTCACACTACTGACATCCATTTTCACACAGGTTTCCCAGATTTCTGTCTGTATAAATCTTAAAACTCAAGTAGATCTTTTGGGATGTAATGTACTTCCTCATGGGTCACACTTTGTACCCCACTTTTAGGGACCTTCTGGGACTTGTGTGTAGTTACAGGTCTAAAAGCACATGGGGTAATGGGGGTGGGTCCTGGGGAGACTTAGTGTTATTTTGTAAGGCTATTCAAGAGATGCCATGATAGTGAGACAGCCAGGTTGGAGGGGCTCCGTGGAAAAATTCCAACCAGTCTGCGCACTGGGGTGGAGCCACAGAAGTTCATGTCCTTTTCGGCAGGGAGGAGTCAGGCCCTTCCTCTTCCTCTGAGGAACCTGGGAATTAAATGGTGGGTGGGAAGCACTCTAGGGGAGGAACTCCGGCCTTGCGAGAGTCTTTTTCCCCCTTTTCTTCCTTTTCACCCGTTAAAACCCTGTCTTACTCCAAAAACCACATGATTATCTCAATAGATGCAGAAAAGGCCTTTAACAAAATTCAACAACCCTTCATGCTAAAAACTCTCAATAAATTAGGTATTGATGGGACATATCTCAAAATAATAAGAGCTATCTATGACAAACCCACAGCCAATATCATACTCAATGGGCAAAAACTGGAAACATTCCCTTTGAAAACTGGCACAAGACAGGGATGCCCTCTCTCACCACTCCTATTCAACATAGTGTTGGAAGTTCTGGCCAGGGCAATTAGGCAGGAGAAGGAAATAAAGGGTATTCAATTAGAAAAAGAGGAAGTCAAATCGTCCCTGTTTGCAGACGACATGATTGTATATCTAGAAAACCCCATTGTCTCAGCCCAAAATCTCCTTAAGCTGATAAGCAACTTCAGCAGTCTCAGGATACAAAATCAATGTACAAAAATCATAAGCATTCTTATACACCAATAACAGACAAACAGAGAGCCAACTCATGAGTGAACCCCCATTCACAATTGCTTCAAAGAGAATAAAATACTTAGGAATCCAACTTACAAGGGACGTGAAGGACCTCTTCAAGGAGAATTACAAACTACTGCTCAATGAAATAAAAGAGGATACAAACAAATGGAAGAACATTCCATGCTCATGGGTAGGAAGAATCAATATCGTGAAAATGGCCATACTGCCCAAGGTAATTTATAGATTCAATGCCATCCCCATCAAGCTACCAATGACTTTCTTCACAGAATTGGAAAAAACTACTTTAAAGTTCATATGGAACCAAAAAAGAACCCACATCGCCAAGTCAATCCTAAGCCAAAAGAACAAAGCTGGAGGCATCACGCTACCTGACTTCAAACTATACTACAAGGCTACAGTAACCAAAACAGCATGGTACTGGTACCAAAACAGAGATATAGACCAATGGAACAGAATAGAGCCCTCAGAAATAATGCCACATATCTACAACTATCTGATCTTTGACAAACCTGAGAAAAACAAGCAATGGGGAAAGGATTCCCTATTTAATAAATGGTGCTGGGAAAACTGGCTAGCCATATGTAGAAAGCTGAAACTGGATCCCTTCCTTACACTTTATACAAAAATTAATTCAAGATGTATTAAAGACTTAAATGTTAGACCTGAAACCATAAAAAACCTAGAAGAAAACCTAGGCATTACCATTCAGGACATAGGCATGGGCAAGGACTTCATGTCTAAAATACAAAAAGCAATGGCAACAAAAGCCAAAATTGACAAATGGGATCTAATTAAACTAAAGAGCTTCTGCACAGCAAAAGAAACTACCATCAGAGTGAGCAGGCAACCTACAAAATGGGAGAAAATTTTCACAACCTACTCATCTGACAAAGGGCTAATATCCAGAATCTACAATGAACTCAAACAAATTTACAAGAAAAAAACAAACAACCCCATCAAAAAGGGGGCAAAGGATATGAACAGACACTTCTCAAAAGAAGACATTTATGCAGGCAAAAGACACATGAAAAAATGCTCATCATCACTGGCCATCAGAGAAATGCAAATCAAAACCACAATGAGATACCATCTCACACCAGTTAGAATGGCAATCATTAAAAAGTCAGGAAACAACAGGTGCTGGAGAGGATGTGGAGAAATAGGAACACTTTTACACTGTTGGTGGGACTGTAAACTAGTTCAACCATTGTGGAAGTCAGTGTGGCGATTCCTCAGGGATCTAGAAATAGAAATACCATTTGACCCAGCCATCCCATTACTGGGTATATACCCAAAGGACTATAAATCATGCTGCTATAAAGACACATGCACACGTATGTTTATTGTGGCACTATTCACAATAGCAATGACTTGGAACCAAGCCAAATGTCCAACAATGATAGACTGGATTAAGAAAATGTGGCACATATACACCATGGAATACTATGCAGCCATAAAAAATGATGAGTTCATGTCCTTTGTAGGGACATGGATGAAACTGGAAATCATCATTCTCAGTAAACTATCGCAAGGACAAAAAACCAAACACCACATGTTCTCACTCATAGATGGGAATTGAACAATGAGATCACATGGACACAGGAAGGGGAACATCACACTCTGGGGACTGTTGTGGGGTGGGGGGAGGGGGGAGGGATAGCATTAGGAGATATACCTAATGCTAAATGATGAGTTAATGGGTGCAGCATGCCAGCATGGCACATGTATACACATGTAACTAACCTGCACATTGTGCACATGTACCCTAAAACTTAAAGTATAATAATAATAATAATTTAAAAACTCAAAATAAATAAGTAAATAAATAAAACCCTGTCTTACTCACCATTCAAATTGTCTGTGAGCCTAAATTTTCATGTCTGTGGGACGGATAAGGACCCCATATTTAGCTGAACTAAGGAAAAGTCCAGCAACATTTTTTCTGTGCAATGTGGGGGCTCAAGAAATGGTGAATGAAATGGAGACTCAAAACCTCTCTTTGTCACTTCTAAGCCTTTTCATGCTGGGATTCCTAAGGGTAGGGGAAACTATGCCCCCACCCCCTGTTGCTCCCAGGGGTCAGGAACCAACCCGACCTTTCAATAGCCCTGAGAGGTGACAGTGTGCTGGCAGCCGTCACAGCCCTGGCTCACTCTGGGCGCCTCCTCGGCCTTGGCGCCCACTCTGGCCGTGCTAGAGGAGCCCATCAGCCCACCGCTGCACTGTGGGAGCCCTTTTCTGGGCTGGCCAAGGCCTGAGCTGGCTCCCTCAGCTTGCGAGGAGGTGTGGAGGGAGAGGCGTGGGCGGGAACCTGGGCTGCGCGCAGAGCTTGCGGGCCAGTGCGAGTTCCGGTGGGTGCGAGTTCAGGTGGGTGTGGGCTCCAAGGGCCCCACACTCGGAGCGGCCGGCCGGCCCACCAGCCCCAGGCAGTGAGGGGCTTAGCACCTGGGCCAGCAGCTGCTGTGCTCGACTTCTCTCCGGGCCTTAGCTGCCTCCCCACAGGGCAGGGCTTGGGACCTGCAGCCCACCATGCCTGAGCCTCCCCCACACCCTGCCGTGGGCTCCTGTGCGGCGGCCGGAGCCTCCCTGACGAGCACTGCCCCCTGCTCCAGGGTGCCCAGTCCCATTGACCACCCAAGGGCTGAGGAGTGCGGGCACATGGCAAGGGACTGGCAGGCAGCTCCACCTGCGGCCCCAGTGCAGGATCCACTGGGTGAAGCCAGCGGGCCTCCTGAGTCTGGTGGGGACTTGGAGAATCTTTATGTCTAGCTAAGGGATTGTAAATACACCAATCAGCACTCTGTATCTAGCTTAAGCTTTGTAAACACACCAATCAGCACCCTGTGTCTAGCTCAAGGTTTGTGAATGCACCAATCGACACTCTGTATCTAGTTAATCTGGTGGGGACTTGGAGAACCTTTATGTCTAGCTAAGGGATTGTAAATACACCAATCAGCACTCTGCATCTAGCTCAAGGTTTGTAAACACACCAATCAGCACCCTGTGTCTAGCTCAGGGTTTGTGAATGCACCAATAGACACTCTGTATCTAGCTAATCTAGTGGAGACATGGAGAACTTTTGTGTCTAACTCAGGGATTGTAAATGCACCAATCAGCACCCTGTCAAAACGGACCAATCAGCTCTCTGTAAAACAGACCAATTGGCTCTCTGTAAAATGGACCAGTGAGCAGGATGTGGGTGGGGCCAGATAAGAGAATAAAAGCAGGCTGCCAAAGCAAGCAGTGGCAACCTGCTCGGGTCCCTTTCCACACTGTGGAAGCTTTGTTCTTTTGCTCTTTGCAATAAATCTTGCTGCTGCTAACTCTTTGGGTCCACACTGCTTTTATGAGCTATAACACTCACCGTGAAGGTCTGCAGCTTCACTCCGGAAGCCAGTGAGACCACGAACCCACCAGGAGGAACAAACAACTCCAGACGCGCAGCCTTAAAAGATGTAACACTCACCGCGAAGGTCTGCAGCTTCACTCCTGAGCCAGCAAGATCATGAACCCAACGGAAGGAAGAAACTCCGAACACATCCGAACATCAGAAGGAAGAAGCTCCGGACACGCCGCCTTTAAGAACTGTAACACTCACTGTGAGGGTCCGCGGCTTCATGTTTGAAGTCAGTGAGACCAAGAACCCACCAATTCCGGACACAGCCCTTTGCTTCCTTTTTCCAGAGGGTCCAGTAAGCAGCGGCTCCCCACCGCCCTCCCCTCCCTGCTGGGCTGGGACGCATGGCCCAAGTTGCCTTGAGTAGCTGACTGGCAGTTTCTGCCTCGTGCCCATGGAGTGTCTTCCTCTTCGCTCCAGGGAGGCCAGCTCTGACCCACAGGAATTAAATTTATCTCCCTGTTGGAGGAAGCACTTGCATAAGAATAAGAAGTTCTCCCCCAGGCATTTTTAAACTTTTTTCTTTCCTCTTCTCAACTCCAACAGCAGTTAACTTATTCTCTTTAAAGGTTTAATTGTGAAAAAGGATTTGTGGGGCTAACCTTCGGCTGTGGCCAATTTGGTGCGCTTTGCATTTCTGTATGGTTTGTGCTGCAAACCTCCATCTTGTTTTACATCCTGGGGGCATGGCCAGTAACCGCTTGGGAGCTTGGGAAAACTTTATTTAGCAATCCTGCCTTAGGGTTAAGCCCTCTCTGGTTGAATATCTGCATGTTTTCCTAGCCTGTCTCTTAAAGGGACCCAACCAGCAACTGGGTTTTCTTCTGCTCGTTTGTGTGTATACTGTGTGTGATGTCTGTAAGAAGAGTTCTAATTAATTTGGCCTAAAGAAAGACAAGTGCAGCTGGGCATAGTGGCACATGCCTGTAATCCAAGCACTTTGGGAGGCCAAGGAGGGTGGATTGCCTGAGTTCAAGAGTTCAAGACCAGCCTGGGCAACATGGTGAAACCCCATCTCTACTAAAATACATAAAATTAGCTGGGCATGGTGGCATGCACCTGTAGTCACAGCTACTCAGGAGGCTGAGGCAGGATAATTGCTTGAACCCAGGAGGCAGAGGTTGCAGTGAGCCGAGATCATGCCACTGCACTCCAGCCTGGGTGACAAAGTGAGACAAGTGCTTGGATCAAGCATTTTTTTAAGGAAAGTTAAAAGCTGTAGTACCTTTTTGTTCATGTGACTTTAATCTTTGAAAGTAAAAACAGTCTTAAAGTTTATTGGTAAAATGCAGGTCAGATGCAAGGTTTGCTACATATTTTAAGGTTACAAACTGCTTTTTGGGTTTTGAAAATTGTCTGTTTTGCCTGTTTCACAATTGGTAGGGCCTGGGGACATATGGAACTAACCACACCCTTAATTAAGAAGACAAACCTTGGCTACACTTAGAACAAAATTAAAGCAACTTACCAGGTTTTACCTTAAAGTTAAAAATTGCTAGGAGTTACCATGAAACTACTGAAAATAGATTTACATGCAAGGTGTATAAGCACAGTAAAATGTGTTTTTCAGTAAAAGGTTATAAGAAGTCATGTAAAGGTAAACTTCTGCCTAGGGTTAAAGGATAATTTTGAGTTACATTAGGAAAAAGCTGAAGGTTCAAAGAAGTGGCGGAAGAATTGTGGAAATTAATCTTGCAGAAGAGGTTCTCAGTGTAAACATATTGACTAAATTCAAAAAAGGGTATTATCCGGTTTTTCTGTAAATTGAGCATTGAAATAAAGCAAACAAGGTTTTCCTAAGGTGCTAGTCTGCTCTATGGCCAAATTTGTAAAGGGTTATAGAAGGTTTTTCTACCTTAAAATTTCTGAGTCTTTATTTTGGCAAAATAACTTACGGTAATCTGGAATTCTATTTCATAATAACAAGTTTTTTAAACCTTGAACATTTAACAGCCTTCCCGAAATCAAACTCAATGTCCCCAAGATCCTTCATCAAGGTTTTCCCACATGTCCCCATTCCAAATTTTAAGGTTTCATTCCTTCCTAGTCAAGGTTTCATTCCTTCCTAGTCCTCACATAAACAGTAGATATTCTGTCGGTCTGGGAGTTCAACTGAACTATAATTAAGCCAATTGGAAAATGAGATTCTGTGTTTAATTTTTGGCAATTCCAGTCATGCTAAAGGAGATATGGGTCTCCTTGAGGGCACATATAAGGTGATTCATGTGGCCCTTGGGCTGAAATTTAAGCCCCTGCGTTCATCCTTTTCTATCCCCACTTTGTCCAGCAACAATAGAAGCAACCATTTAATCTCATTATATAAATTAATTTGCAAAAAAATGTTCAAAAGTATCATATACACAGTCCCCCAGATCCCTGCTTCTTATATTATGGATTAAGAATATTCAATAGTAATATTTTGTGTCTCTCTATTGCTATATCAAGTCATGTACATCTGTGTGCTCTTTACTACTTGAAATAAGGTAATTAGGGTCTTCAAATCTAATCAGATTAAACAGCAAATTCCAGAAATCCCAGAACCAACTTGGAAAATTCTGTTTCTCTGAAACTCTCTCTCTACCGAAATTTGTGTTAGAATTCTCCAAACAGAAAAAATAGGACAAAGATGATAGATAGATACATAGATAGATAGATAGATAGATAGATAGATAGATAGATAGATAGATGATAGACAGATAATAAGAAATTTGATTACATGATTATGGAAGCTAAGAAATGTCAAGCTATACAGCCTATGACCTGGATACCTATGTGAGCTGATGGTGTATCTCCATTCAGACTTTTTAGTCCATTCGAATGCTGCTATTGAGAACTGCCCAAGACTGGGTAATTCATAAAGGAAAAAGGTTTAATTGACTCACAGTTCTACAGGGTTAGGGAGGCATCAGGAAAACATGTCTTCACATGGCAGCAGGAAGAAGAAGAATGAGAAATGAGCAAAGGGGTAGTCCCTTATAAAATCATCATATCTCAAGAAAACTCACTCACTATCACAAGAACAGCATGGGGTAACTGTCCCCATGATTCAATTACTTCCCACCAGTTCCCTCCCATGACACGTGGGGATTATGGGAACTATAATTCAAGATGAGATTTGGGTGGGGACAGAGCCAAATCATATCATTTGGTCCCTGGTCCTTCCCAAATCATATGTCCTCACATTTCAAAACACAATTATGCCTCTCCAACAGCCCCCCCAAATCTTAGCTCATTCCAATATTAACTCAAAAGTCCAAGTCCAAAGTCCCATCTAACACAAGACAAGTCCCTTCCACCTATGAGCCTGTAAAATCAACAGCAAGTTACTGCCTAGATACAATGGGGATACAGGCATTGGGTAAATACACTTGTTCCAAGTGGGAGAAATTGGCCAAAACAAAGGGGCTACAAGCCCCATGCAAGACTGAAATCCAGTAGGGCAGTCATTAAAACTAAAATTTCCCAAATTATCCCCTTTGACTTCATGTCTCACATCCACATCATGCTGATGCAACAGGTGGGCTCCCATGGTCTTGGGCAACTCCACCTCTCTGGCTTTGCAGGGTACAGCCCCACTCTCCACTGCTTTCATGGGCTGGTATTGAGTGCCTGTGTCTTTTCCAGGCGCACAGTGCAAGCTGTTGGTGGATGTACCATTCTAGTGTTCTGGAAGACAATGACTCTCTTTTCACAGTTCCATTAGGCAGTGCCTCAGTGGGTACTCTGTGTGGGGGCTTGGATTCCACATTTTCCTCCCACACTGCCCTAATAGAGATTCTCCATGACGGCCCCACCCCTGCAGCAAACTTCTGCCTGGACACCCAGGCATTTCCATACATCCTATGAAATCTATGTGGAGGTTTCCAAACCTCAATTCTTGACTTCTGGGTACCCACAGACTCAATACCACTTGGAACCCACCAAGGCTTGGGGCTTGCAGACTCTGAAGCAATGGCCTGAGCTGTACCTTGGCCAATTTTTGCCGTGGTTGGAGATGAAGCAGCCTCTTATATCAGACAAACTTTAAGGCAGCAGCAGTTAAAAAAGGCAAAGATAGACATAATATAATGATAAAAGGACTAGGCCAACAGGAAAATATCACAATTCTAAATATATATTTACCTAACACTGGAGCTCCCAACTCTATGAAACAATTACTAATAGACTTAAGAAATAAAATAGATGGCAATACAATAATAATGGGGAACTTCAATACTCCACTGACAGCACTAGACGGGTCATCAAGACAGAATGGACTTAAATCATAACCTACCACAAATGAACTTAACAGATATTTACAGAACATTCTACCTAGCAACTGCAAAATATACATTCTATTCATCAGCACATGGAACATTCTTCAAGATAGACCATATTACAGGCAAAAAAAAAGTCTCAGTAAATTCAATAAAATTGAAATTATATGAAGTACTGTCTCAGATAACAACTGAATAAAATTGAAAATCTACTCCAAAAGAAACCCTGAAAGCCATGCAAATACAAGGAAACTAAATAACCTGCTCTTAAATGATCATTGGGTCAACAATGAAATCCAGATGGAAATTTTAAAATTCTATAAACGGAATGATAATAGTGACCCAACCTATCAAAACCTCTGGGATAGAGCAAAAGCAGTTCTAAGAGAAAAGTTTATAGCATTAAATGTTTACAACAAAAAGTCTGAAAGAGCACAAATAGACATTCTAAGCTCACAAATCACAGAACTGGAGAAACAAGAACAAATCAAATCCAAATCCAGCAGAAGAAAAGAAATAACGAAATTCAGAGCAGAACTAAATGAAATTGTAACAAAAAAATTACAAAAGATAAATAAAACAAAAAGCTCTCTTTTTGAAAAGATAAACAAAATTGATAGGCCATTAGTGAGATTAACCAAGAAAAAAGGGAGAATATCTAAATAATTTCAATTTGAAACAAATGAGAGATATTACTACTGATACCATAAAACTACAAAAAAATTATTCAAGGCTACTATGAACACCATTATGCACATAAACTAGGAAACCTAGAGCACACGAATAAATTTCTAGAAATATACAACCCTCCTAGATTAAACCAGAAAGGCGTAGAAACTCTGAACAGACTAATAACAAGCAGTGAGATTGAAATGGTAATTTAAAAATCACTAGCAAATAGAAAGCCAGGACCAGATAGATTCAAAGCTGAATTCTATCACACATTCAAAGACAAGTTAGTACAAATCCTATTGACACTATTCCACAGGATAGACTAAGAGGGAATCCTCCCTAAATCATTCTATGAAACCAGTATCAACCCAATACCAAAACCAGGAAAGAACATAACAAAAAAAGAAAACAACAGACCAATATTCCTGATGAACATAGATGCAAAAGTCCCCAACAAAATACTAGCTAATTGAATTCCACAGCATATCAAAAAGATAATCCATCATCATCAAATGGGTTTCATACCAGGGATGTAGGAATGGTTTAACATCTGCAAGTCAATAAATGTGATACACCACATAAAGAGAATTAAAAACAAAAATCACATGATCATCTCAATAGATGCAGGAAAAGCATCTGACAAAATCCAACATCTCTTTATCATTAAAACCCTCAGCAAAATCAACATAGAAGGGACATATCTTAATGTAATAAAGCCATCTATGACAAACCCACAGGGAACATTATACTAAATGGGGAAAAGTTAAAAGCATTTCCCCTGAGAACTGGAGCAAGACAAGGATACCCACTTTCACCACTTCTATTCAACGTAGTCCTGGAAGTCCTAGCCAGGGCAATCAGAAAAGAGAAAGAAATCACAGGCATCCAAATTGGTAAAGAGAAAGTCAAATTGTCATTGTTTGCTGATGATATGATTGTATACCTAGAAAACCCTAAAGACTCATCTAAAAAGCTTCTAGGACTGGTATATGAATTCAGCGAAGTTTCAGGATACAAAGTTAATGCACACAAATCAGTAGCTCTGCTATACACCAACTGTGACCAAGCTGAGAATCAAGTCAGTAACTCAATCCCTTTTACAATAGCTGCAAAAGAATAAAATAAAACAAAATACTTAGGAATATACCTAACCAAGGAGCTGAAAGACCTCTACAAGGAAAACTACACAACACTGCTGAAAGAAATCATAGATGACACAAACAAATGAAAGCACATTCCAGGCTCATGAATAGGTAGAATCAATATTGTGAAAATAACTATACTGCCAAAAGCAATCTAAAAATTCAATGTACTTCCCAGTAATATACTACCATCATTCTTCACAGAACTAGAAAAAAAACAATAAAAAAATTCAAGTGGAACCAAAAAAGAGCCTGCATAGCCAAAGTAAGACTAAGCAAAAAGAGCAAATCTGGGAGCAACACATTACCCAACTTCAAATTATACTGTAAGACTATAGTCACCAAAACAGCATGGTACTGGTATAAAAATAGTCAAACAAAAATATAAAGTGAGGAAAGACACCCTATTCAACAAATGGTGCTGGGATAATTGGCAAGCCACATGTAGAAGAATGAAACTGGATCCTCATCTCTCATATTATGTGAAAATTAACTCAAGATGTATCAAGAACTTTAAAACCTAAAACCATACAAATTCTAGAAAATAACATTGGAAAAATCCTTCTAGACATTGGATTAGGCAAAGACTTCATGAACAAGAACCCAAAAGCAAATGCAACAAAAACAAAGATAAATAAATGGGACTTACTTAAATTATTAATAAAAAGCTTCTAGCCAGGTGCTGTGGCTCACGCCTGTAATCCCAGCACTTTGGGAGGCTGAGGCGAGTGGATCACGAGGTCAGGAGATCAAGACCATCCTGGTTAACACAGTGAAACCCCGTCTCTACTAAAAATACAACAAAATTAGCCGGGCGTGGTGGTGGGCGCCTGTAGTCCCAGCTACTCCGGAGGCTGAGGCAGGAGAATGGCGTGAACCCAGGAGGCGGAGCTTGCAGTGAGCTGAGATCGCGACACTGCACTCCAGCCTGGGTGACAGAGCGAGACTCCGCCTCAAAAAAAAAAAAAAGCTTCTGCACATCAAAATAAATAATCAGAAGGGTAAACAGACAACCCACAGAGTGGGAGAATATCTTCATAATCTACACATCCACCAAAGGACTGATATCCAGAATGTACAAGGAACTCCAACAAATCAGCAAGAACAAAACAATCCCATCAAAAAGTGGGCTAAGGATATGAATAGAAAATTCTCAAAAGAAAGTATACAAATGGCCAACAAGTATATGGAAAAATTCTCAACATCACTAATGATAAGGGAAATGCAAATCAAAACCACAATGTGATACCACTTTACTCCTGCAACAATGGCCATAATCAAAAAGGTATCTACCCAGAGGAAAAGAAGTCCTTATATTAAAAAGATACTTGCATATGCACGTTTATAGCAGCACAATTCACAATTGAAAAATGTGGAACCAGCCCAATGCCCATCAATCAACAAGAGTGGATAAAGAAAATGTGGTGTGTGTGTGTGTGTGTGTGTGTGTGTGTGTATGGAACACTACTCAGCCATGACGAAAATAATAATAATAATAATAATGGCATTTGCAGCAACCTAGATGGAGTTGGAGTCTATTATTCTCTAAGTGAAGTAACTCAGGAATGAAAACCCAAACATGCTGTGTTCTCACTCATAAGTGGAAGTTGAGCTATGAGGATACAAAGGCATTAAGAATGATACAATGGACTTTGGGGACTTGGAAGAAAAGGTGGGAGTGGGATGAGGGATAAAAGACTACACACTAGGTACAGTGTACACTGCTTGGGTGATGAGTGCACCAAAGTCTCAGAAATCATCGCTAAGAACTTATTATTCATATAACCAAACACCACCTGTTCCCCAAAAACCTATTGAAATAAAAAACTAAATTTAAGACAAGAAAAGTAAAAATAATAAACATAATAGATACTAGTAAAATAAAAAGCAAAAAGAGGCTTAAAAAAGAAACATTGGCTATTGAAAAGATAAATGAAACGTTAAACCTCTAAAAATATTGATAAAGAAAAAAGGAGATTATATGTAAATGATATTTTGATTAAGGTGTGGGAGAGATTACTGCAGATAAAGCAGATATTACAAATGTAATAAAAATGATAAATATCAACTTTATAATTAATTTTAAAATTTAGTTACTTTTGACAAATTCTTGAAAAATGTAACTTACCAAAACAGACTCTTAAAAAATAATAATGCAAAAACTCCTATATTTGAAACCATAGTTTAAAATTATAAAGAAAATAAGAGTCTCAAATGATTTACAAGTGGGTTCTACCAAATTTTCATGGAATAGACCATTGTAATCTACTAGAAACTCCTCTGGACAATTGAAAAATAGACTATATCTCAAACCTTTAAAATAATAATACAACACGTACACAAAAACAATTATAGGCTTTCCTTATGAATGTCTCTCTCTCTCTCTCATATCATGTAAAACAGATCACATACGACCAGATAGGTTTATCCCAGCAATGGAACGATGTAAGGATGGGTCAATATTAGGATAGGTTAACATTTCGTATATAAATGCCATTCTTCATTGATCATCTCAATAGAAAGAGAAAAAGAATAGAAAGTCTATACAAAAAATTTGATAAAATGTAGCACAAATTCTTGATAAAAATTATTAGTAGCTAGGTGCAGTGGCTCACGCCTGTAATCCCAGCACTTTGGGAGGCTGAGGTGGGCAGATCATGAGGTCAGGAGATCGAGACCATCCTGGCTAACATAGTGAAACCCCGTCTCTACTAAAATTACAAAACATTAGCCAGGTATGATGGCACACGTCTGTAGTCCCAGCTACTCGGGAGGCTGAGGCAGGAGACAGGGAGGCAGAGGTTGACCCCGGGAGGCAGAGGTTGCAGTGAGCCGAGATCGCGCCATTGCACTCCAGCCTGGGCAACAGAGCTAGATTCCCTCTCAAAAAAAAAAAAAAAAATTAGTAAACCGGGAAAACAAGAAAACTTCTTTTCTCTAACCTAAAAATTCTACTATAAACATCATGCTAATAGGTATTTCCATTACTTCTACCTTTAAAAAATTTTTATTGTTTTAAAACACCTAACAAAACCATATAATGTTAGGCTTAAATGTATGTATGAATGTATGATGAAACTTTTTAAAGCTATGTATGAATGTATGATGAAACTTTTTAAAGCTGTGTTCTGTTAAAATAGAATTCAGTTCGGCGGCTACCTCTTGGTAAGGATGGAGAAAAGACAGGAGTCATAAGACGAGGAAAAACACCTTGGTAAATGTACGTTATTGTCAGTCTTATAGATCTCAGGTTGCATAGTAGTGATAAGACATCTAATGAAAACGAAGTCTAAAATTTAACACGTTTTATAAACAATATAGCACTAAGCCCTCATAGTGGCACTTAAAAATTTTTGTTTACACCATTAGTGAATGGAATTGTAAGCTGTACAAAATGTCATCCTGGTGGAAAAAATGCATCGCAAATATTTTCTTTCATAAGGAGCCACATTTCACATACATCCTACTGAAAATACAGTCTTCTTGCTTTTCAGAATTATTCTGTGCATGAAAGGCTATCTTTGTTTAAGGTGAAACAAACCCTTGTGCTCCCTGAAACTAGATTCAAACCACAGACTCCCCCATAATTGGTTTCCTGTAAGGACCATTTATTAAAACTTCTGGATCTTGTTCTAAGTCTGGATTGTATATTCACCAGAAATGACTGTATCATTGTGCTGATTATCTGATGTGGTCAGAGAAATAGATTAAATCAGAAACAGACAAAAATTCTAAAAAATGCAAAATAAAACTTTTGCTTGAAGACTTTCCTCGGGGAAATATACAGCTTATATTGGGTTTTCTTCATTGGAATTCTAAAGGTAGTCACTTCTGGCTTTTTGTCTTTTCTTTTTCTAATCCTGAAACTCTTAAATTTGACTTATTCATAGCACCCATTTCATCAAGATTTCTGAGCAACTGATAGTCTAAAGCTCAGGTTTATATGAGGAAGGAAAAGAATTCCTGACATTACAAGGGAGAAGGCATGAGCCTAGGACTTACAGGATATTTTTTCATATTGGATTTGTTATCCATAGAAGGAAATTATGTAAACAAGAACAGTTCATGGCATTCTCGTGGCTTGACAATGCAAATCGATGAAGGAATTACCCAAATCTCCAAAAGCAATCAAATATTTTGTCAAATCTCAATATAAATCAAACTTTCCTCAAGACACAGCAAATCAAATGCTGTCCATGACAGTGGCAGAAACTGCAGTTATTCTTGTGACTTGCCTTGCTATTGATGGGTAAGAGACCAATCAATGATATCAAAAGCTTTTTAATTTAACATGACATTTAAATATTCTAACGTGAGAAGAGTACTCCAGAATATTCTAAAACTAGACATCATACGTTGAAAATGAAACAGAAACTTAGAGGGCAGAGGGAAGTTTCTAGGGATAAAAGCAATCCTGTGAATTCAATGAGCATATAAAAAATATTAACAAAAGATAGATAACTAAGATTATTGGGAGCCACAGATTTGAAATGTATTCAATATATAAAATGAAGTAGGCCAACATCATTAAGATACAGAAATTCATGAAAATCTTTATTTTATGTATACATTGTTTGCTTTTTCTAATGGAACTATAAATTTAATTTGAATTAGAAAAATTTTTGACTGTCTTGTTTTTTTAAATAAAATGCCACTTTCCTTTCAAAAGACTAAAACACATGTTGTCTAATGTCATATATTAAATCCACTTGTTAGAAGTAGATGAAGATTCTTAAAAGTTTATAAACTTAATGGCTTGCCAAAGGTCACACTACAATTCTAGCACCGATTCAGGAATGCAACTAGGAGGTTGATATCAGGTTGAGGTGACACACACTGCATTGGGAAATAGAAAAGTAAAATTACAATACTCATGTTTTCATTATTACTGTTACAGGAACTTTGAGAATTTTGTTTAATAGTAATATTTTACTTGATACTCATAAGTTTAATAGTTATATTTTTAAAAAGTTTTTACTTTGGAATACATATAAGTTCATGTCAAATTGCAAAAAAAAAAATCATAGGAATGTCCCATGCATCATTCACGCAGCCTTCCTCATCTTGGATGACTACAGTATGATATCAAAACCAGAAAATTGGCATTGGTACAAATCCTAGTTTATTCATATATATGAATAAATATATATGCTAGTTATATATATATACATATATATGCTAGTTATATATATGTGTGTGTGTGTGTGTGTGTGTGTGTGTGTGTGTGTGTGTGTGTAGCTATCTGGAATTTAATCACATGTGTAGCTTCATGTAACCAACACAACTTTCAGCACATTTAATATGTCATCCCATTGCCTCCTGGTCTCCTTGATTTCTGATTATAAAACAGCTGTTAATCTTATCAAGCTTTTTATGTGTGATGAGTTGCTTCTCTTTTGCTGCTTTCAAGATTCTGCCTTTGTTTTAAGCTTTCAACAATTTAATTATGATGTGTTTAGGCATGAATCATTTTGAATTTATTCTACTTGGAGCTCATGGAGCTTCCTGTGTGTGCAAATTAATGTTCATCAAATCTTGGCAGTTAACCATAATATTCAAACATTCTTCTGCCCATTTTTCTCTTTTTTTGGACTCATATTTTGCTTATTTTGGTATGCTTGATGCTATTATGCAGATCTCTGTGTCTGTGGTGTTTTATTTTTTAGTCTTCCTGTTCCTCAAACTGAATAATTTCAATTACCTTATCTTCCAGTTGGCAGATTTTTATTCTGCCTCTTCAAATTACTACAAATATGTAGTAAAAGTTTTATTTTATTCTACTTTTCAACTGCATAATTTCTTTTCTTTTTTCTTATATTACCTCCTTATTGATATTTTCTTTTGAGAAGACACCTGTTTTCATACTCTTTGTTAGTTCTATGATAGCTGATTTAAAATTTTTGTCTCAGTCTTCATCATCTTAGGTTTCCCACGGACTAGTTTCTATTAACTATTTTTTTTTCTTTTCCTGTATATTAGCCATGCTTTCTTATTTCTTTGCATATCTTGTGATTTTCTTGTTAAAAATAGACATTATAAATAATATAATGTGAAACATCTGGGAGTCAATTTCCCACAGAAGGTTGCAAGCCTTGTTAATTTCCACAATTCTGAAAAGTAGATTTTGACAATTTTTGCCAGTGTTCTTGTTGCTACTTCAGAGGAAAGAATTTTTAGAAGTTTTTAGTCTGCCGTTCCCCATAATGTCACTTCTGATTGCTAAAATTTTACTGAGGATTTTTGCATCTATGTTCATGAGAGATACTGATCTTTAGCTTGTTTTGTGTATGTGCTGTATTATTAAGGTAATACTAGCCTTATAAAATTGGAAGTTATGAAGTGTTTCCTCCACTTCTATTTTCTGGAAGATATTGCATATTTTTATTAATTTTTTTGAATGTTTGGTAAAAATTCTCCATTAAAACCACCTGGGTCCTGATCTTTCTTTTCAGTAGCTTTTAAATTATAAACTCAATTTTCTTAATAGTTAGACAACTATTTAGGTTATCAATTTCTTCTTGGCTGAGTGTTGGTAGTTTGTGGTTTCCAATAAATTGGTTTATTTCTTTTAGGTTGTCAAATTTATTAGCATAAATCATTTGTAATATGTCTTATTATGCTTTTAATGGCTGCAAAACTTGTTCTGCTATGCCCTGTTTCATTCTTGATATCAACTATTTGTGTCTTCTTTCATTTTATGTGGGAAAATAAAATTTCCCTGGATTTCCTGATGCTACTTCAAAAAGCATCAGCTTCATGATTTTTTTCATATAATATTTGTATTTATTTGCCTTGTTAATTACAGTAATCAGAAAGGAGAGAAAACTTTTTTTTTTTATATTATCAATGATTACTGTTCTGGGCTAGGTTCTTGGGTTAAACTCTAAAGTGCCAGGAATTCTGGAACACTGTCTCCCTGGTTATCTACATTTCAAGGAAAAATGAGGCCAAAAACTTGAAGACATCTACAGATCTGAGAGAAATGGGCTAAATGGCTTCTGGAACGATTTTATTTACATGCTAATATGCTGAAGTAAGGAGGACATTCTAAAGCAAGAGAAACCACTGCCTTCTTCCTTTATTGAGCAGTGAAAAATCATTTTGCCTTGTCTCTCACCTGTGGTGTATCTAGTTACTCACGTAAGATTTACCTGATTTTTATCACGTTGCACAAGGGTAAGGACTAGGGCAAAGAATTCAGGGAAGGGAGTATGATACGTTTATTTACTACAAGGTATTTAATGAGAAATCTGTCTCTGTTCCAGAACTCCTTGTGTGCACATTAAGGATAAAAATAAATGAAGATAAATATTTAAAATCCAACATTTTATCATTGTCAATCTTGGTAGAGGTTTATAAATTGTGTTGTTTCATTTATTTAAAAAAACAGCTTTTAATCTCAATTTCTCTGTTGATTTTCTATTTTCAGTGTTATTTCTTTTTGTCATTATCTTTTTTACGTCCTTCCTTCTGCTTTTGAGGGGTTAATTTTTCTCTTCTTTTCTAGTTTCTTAAAGCAGGAACTTATCATATTGATTTGAAGTCTTTCTACTTTTTCAATTTTAAGTATTTGGTGTTATAAATTTATTTTTCGCACTGCTTTAGTTACATCCCACACTTTAATATGTTGTGTATTGATTTTAATCAGTTAAATATATTTTTACTTTATTATATTTTTCTTGTTTGACCCTGGATTATTTACAATTGTTGTTTACATTCCAAGTATATAGCAATTTTTCTCATCTTCTGCTATTGACTTCTAGTTTGATTCCTTTATGTAAGTGAACTTACTCTATGTAACTTCAGTTCTTTTAATCATTTTTTAAATCCAGCATATGCATTCTCATGGTTCATGTTCCATGGGTACTTGAAAGGAAAGTGTGTTCTGCTTCTGTTGGGCCTAGTGTTCTCTAAATATGATGGTATCCTGTTGGTTGATACTGTTGTTTGGTTCTTCCACATCCTTGCTGATTTGCTGTCTAGTCATTCTTTTTGTTCCCCAACTATAATTGTGAATTTCTCAATTTTTTATTTTGGCTCTATCAGTTTTTGTTTCATATATTTTGAAGTTCTGTGATTTGATACATACAAATTTGAGAATGTCATATGTACTTGGTTAATATATTCTCTAACAGAAAACAGAAGAAGACTAGAATCTTTACAAAGGAAAGAATAACAGAATAGGTAGAAATAGGAATAAAATAGACTGTTTTTCACATTATGAATTTCTTTAATTATATTTTATGGTAAAAGCAAAAAGTTATACACCATCTGATGAGGTTCTTTATGTAGAAAAAATGCTTAAGACAATTATGTTTAAAATTATGAAGAGTAAAGAGACCTAAATAAAAGTAAGATTTCTATACTTCATTGGAAGTAGTAAAATATCAACCCCAGTATGTTGTGATGAGTTATGTATATATTGAGCAAAAATATCCTGAGCAACAATTAAGAAAACAGAACAAAATGATATCCTTAAAAATAAACAAATCATAATGGAACTCTGAAAATGCTCAAGTAACTCACAAGAAGACAAGAACAAAGAAGAAGACTCAAGAACAATGTTTGATAGAGTGGATAACTAAAAATGATTCAACAATATGCTGTCTTCAAGAAACTCACTTCAAACGTAATGGCATTGGCTGCTTAAAAGTAAAACAGTGAAGAATGATGCTCTGAGGGATTGGCCAAGATGGCTGCCTGGAAGCAGCTAGTGTGTGCCCCTCTTGTGGAGAGAAAAGGAAGTGGTGAGTAAATACAGCACCTTCAGATTAAACATTCAAGTATATACATTGGGACTCATTAAGATAAAAACTTGACCCATAGAGATTGGAGAAAACCAAGGCAGGATGACTGCCCACCTGGGAATGACATGAAGCAAAGGGAGCCTCCCCATCCCAGGGACGTGGTGAGTGAGTGAGTGAGTGACCCCAGGGACTCATGCTTCTTCAATGGATCTTTGCAACCCTCAGGTCAGGAGACCCTCTCATGAACCCACTCCACCAGGGCCTTCAGTCCAACACACAGAGTTACATGGAGTCTTAGGAGAGCAGCCACTAAAGCACATGAAGAGATACTCGGCTTCCCAGCAAAAGCAGCTGCAACTCTGACAAAGCAGGGATTTTGACCCTGGTACATATTTCTAGGAAAGGGGCTGAATCCAGGGGGCTGAACAGTGACAGGCTGCAGGCCCTGCTTTCATGGCACCTTGCAGGATAAGACCCACTGACTTGGTAATCCAGCCAGCCACTGGTAGCAGTGTTTCACCTCCCTGAGATGAAACTCCCAGTGTGGGGAGCGGGGCTGCCATCTTTGCTGTCTCACAGCCTTAACCATTGTTGCTTTTAGGTTCTAGGGAGTCTGAGGCAACCAGGCACCAGGGTGGTCCCTCAACACAGCCCAGCAGCTCTGCAGAGAAGTGGTCAGACTGTTCACATGGATCCAGGATCCCATTTCTCTACTGAGTGGAATCTCTCATCTGGGGTTTCCAGTCACTTCCACCAGTGTTTTCTTCTTTTTTCGCTTTTTTTTTTTTTTTTTTTTTTGAGATGGAGTCTTGCACTGTCACCCAGGCTGGAGTGCAGTAGCACAATCTCGGCTCACTGCAACCTCCACTTCCCAAGTTCAAGCAATTCTCCTGCCTCAGTCTCCTGAGTACCTGGGACTACAGGTGCATGCCACCACACCCGGCTAATTTTTTTTATTTTTAGTAGAGACGGGGTTTCACTATGTTAGCCAGGATAGTCTCTATCTCCTGACCTCATGATCTGCCTGCCTTGGCCTCCCAAAATGCTGAAATTACAGGCCTGAGCCACTGTGCCTAGCCCCCACCAGTTTTTGCTAGCTGACAGCCATTTCAAACCTCCTTGGGATGGAGCTCCCAGAGGGAGGTGCAGGCTGTCATCATAGCTGTTTGGCAGCCTTAGCTGTTCTTGCCTTCAGGCCTTGAAGAGCCTGAGGCAACTGGGGGTATATTCCTAAGTATTTTATTATTTTATTTTATTTTATTTATTTTTGCAGCTATTGTAAAAGAAGTTAAGTTATGGTTTGATTCTCATCTGGGTCGCTATTGGTGTATAGCAGAGCTACTGATTTGTGTGTATTAATTTTGTATCCTGAAATTTTGCTGAATTTATATACCAGTTCTAGGAGCTTTTTGGATGAGTCTTTAGAGTTTTCTAGGTATACAGTCATGTCAACAGCAACAGTTTGACTTCGTCTTTACCAATTTGGATGCATTTTATTTCTGTTTCTTGCCTGATTGCTCTGGCTAGGACTTCCAGTACCATGTTGAATAGTGCTGAAAGTGGGCATTCTTGTCTTGGTTCCAGTTCTCAGGGAAAATTTTTTCAACTTTTCCACATTCAGTATAATGTTAGCTGCAGCTTTGTCAAAGTTGGCTTTTATTGCCTAAATGTATGTCTCTTTTATGCCAATTTTGCTGAGGGTTTTCATAAAGGGATGCTGGATTTTGTCAAATGTTTTCTTCTGCATCTATTTAGATGATCATGTGATTTTTGTTTTTATTTCTGTTTATGTGGTGTATCACATTTATTGACTTGAAGATGTTAAACCATCCCTGCCTCCCTGGTATGGAACCCATTTCATGATGGTAGATTATCTTTTTGATATTCTGTTGGATTTGATTAGCTAGTATTTTATTGAGGACTTTTGCATCTATATCATCAGGGATATTGGTATGTAGTTTTCTTTTTTTGTTATGTTCTTCCCTGGTTTAGGTATTAGAGTGATACTGGCTTCGTAGAATGATTTAGGGAGGATTCTATCTATCTTTTGGAATAGTGTATAGGATTGGTATCAATTCTTCTTTGAATGTCTAATAGAATTCAGCTGTGAATCCATCTGGTCCAAGACTTTTTTTCTTGGTAACTTTGTCATTATGATTTCAATCTCGCTGCTTGTTATTGGTCTGTTCAGAGTTTCTACATCTTTCAGGTTTAATCTGGGAGGGTTGTATATTACCAGAATTTATCCATCTTCTCTAGGTTTTCTAGTTCATGTGTATAAAGGTGTTCATAGTAGCCTTGAATGACCTTTTGTATTTCTGTGATATTGGTTGTAATATCTCCCATTTTGTTTCTAATTGAGCTTGTTTGTATCTTCTCTCTTCTTTTCTTGGTTAATCTTGCTAATGGTTTATCAATTTTATGTATCTTTTCAAATACCAGCTTTACATTTCATTTATCTTTTGTAATTTTTTTTGTTTCAATTTTATTTAGTTCTCCTCTGATCGTGGTTATTTATTTTCTTCTGTTTGGTTTGGGTATGGTTTGTTCTTGTTTCTCTAGCTCCTTGAAGTGTGTGCTTACATTGTATATTTGTGCTCTTTCAGTCTTTTTGATGTAGGCATTTAATGCTATGAACTTTCCTCTTAACACCGGCTTTGCTGTATCCAAGAGGTTTTGATAGGTATGTCACTATTATCGTTCAGTTTAAATCATTTTTTAATTTCCATATTGATTTCCTTGTTGACCCAATGATCATTCGGGAGCAGGTTATTTAATTTTCATGTTTTTCCACGGTTTTTAGGTTTCTTTTTATAATTGATTTCCAATTTTATTCCACTGTGGTCTGAAAGAATAGTTGCTACAATTTTGATTTTCTTAAATGTTTTGAGACTTGTTTTGTGGTCTATCATATGGTCTATCTTGAAGAATGTTCCATGTGTGGATGAACAGAATGTATATTCTGCAGTTGTTGGGTAGAATGCTCCGTAAATATCTGTTAAGCCCATTTGTTCTAGGGTGTAGTTTAAGTTCATTGTTTCCTTGACTTTCTGTCTTGATGACCTGTCTAGTCCTGTTAGTGAAGTATTGAAGTCCCCCACTATTATTGTGTTGCCATGTATCTCATTTTTTAGGTCTATTTGTAATTGTTTTATAAATTTTGGAGCCCCATTGTAAGGTGCATATATATTTAGGTTGTAATATTTTCATGTTGGACTAGTCCTTTTATCATTATATAATGTCCCTCTTTGTCTTTTTAAACACTATTTCTTATAGTTTGTTTTGTCTGACATAAGAATAGCTACTCCTGCTTGCTTTTGGTTTTCATTTGCATGGAATATCTTTTTCCACCCCTTTACCCTAAGTTTATGCAAGTTCTTATGCATCAGGTGAGTCTCTTGAAGACAGAAGATACTTGGTTGGGAAATTCTTACCCACTCTGACATTTTGTATCTTCTAAGTGGAGCATTTAGGCCAATTAGATTCAACCTTAGTATTGAGATGTGAGGTTCTATTCTATTCTCTTTTCTATTTGTTGCCTGAATACCTTGATTTTTTTTTTTATTTTTCACTGTGTTGTTGTTTTATAGGTCCTTCGAGAATTATGCTCTAAGGAGATTCTATTTTGGTGTGTTTTGAGGATTATTTTCAAGACTTAGAGCTCCTTTTAGCAGTTCCTATAGTGCTGGCTTGGTACTGGTGAATTATCTCAGCCTTTGTTTGCCTGCAAAAGACTCTATATTTCCTTCATTTATGAAGCCTAATTTCACTAGATAAAAAATTTTTGGCTGGTAATTGTTTTAAGGAGGCTAAAGATAGGACCCCAATCCCTTCTAGCTTGTAGGGTTTCTGCTGAGAAATCTGCTGTTAATCTGATAGGTTTTCCTTTATAGGTTACCTGATGCTTTTGCCTCATGGCTCTTAAGATTCTTTCCTTTGTTTTGACTTTGGAAAAACTGATGACTATGTGCCTAGGTGATGATCTGTTTGCAATGAAATTCCCAGTGTTCTCTGAGCTTCTTGTACTTAGATGTCTAGATCATCAGCAAGGCCAGGGAAGTTTCCTCGATTATTACCTCAAATATGTTTGCCAAACATTTAGATTTCTCTTCTTCCTCAAGAACACAAATTATTCTTAGGTTTGGTCGTTTAAGATAATCACAAACTTTTTGGAGGCCTTGTTCATTTTTTAAAATTCTTTTTTCTTTATCTTTGTCAGACTGGGTTAATTCAAAAGCCTTGTCTTCAAGCTCTGAAGTTGTTTCTTCTCCTTGTTCAATTCTATTGCTGAGGCTTTCCAGTGCAAAAGCAATTCCTTAAGTCTGTCTTTCATTTCTAGAAGTTGTGATTGTTTTTTATTTATGCAGTCTATTTCACTGGAGATTTTTCCTTTCACATCTTGTATCATGTTTTTGATTTTTTTAAGTTGGACTTCACCTTTCTCTGGTGTCTTCCTGATTGGCTTAATAGTCAGCCTTCTGAATTCTTTTTTTGGTAATTCAGAGATTTCATCTTGGTTTAGATCCATTGTTGGTGAGCTAGTGTGATCTTTTGGAGGGTGTTAGAGAATCTTCTTTTGTTATTTACGTATTTATTTAAAGACAGAGTCTCACTCTGTCACCCAGGCTGAAGTGTAGTGGTGCTATCCTGGATCACTGCAACCTCCACTTCCCAGGTTCAAGCAATTCTCCTGCCTCAGCCTCCCCAGTAGCTTGGATTACAGGTGTGTGCCACCACACCCAGCTAATTTTTTATTTTTGGTAGAGGTGGGGATTCACCATGTTCACCAGGTTTGTCTCAAGCTCCTGACCTCAAGTGATCTGCATGCCTCGGCTTTCCAAAATGCTGGGACTATTTTTTTGTCATATAACCAGAATTGTTTTTCTGGTTCCTTCCCATTTGGGTAGACTACATCAGAGGGGAGATCTGGGACTCAAGGGCTTCTGTTCTGATTCTTTGGTCCCACAGGGTGCTCTCTTGATGTAGTGCTCTTTCCCTTCCCCTAGGGATGGAGCTTCCTGAAAGCTAAGCTGCAGTGATTAATTTTTTCCTCTCTCTTCTGGATTTAGCCACCCAGTGGAACTACCAGGCTCTGGTCTGATACTGGGGAGTGTCTGAAAAGAGTCCTGTAATGTGACCTGTCTTCAAGTCTCTTAGCCATGGAGACCAGCATCTGCTTTGGTGGAGGCAGCAGGGGAGTGAAGCGAATTCTATGAGTTTGTATTTTTGTTCAGTGTGCTTCATTTTGTGATAGTTGGCCTCCAGCCAGGAGGTGGTGCTTTCAAGAGTGCATCAGCTGCAGTAGTATAGGGAGGATACTAGCTTTCCTAGAGTCACCTTTGGGTAACTATTCTGCTATCTCAGGTGGTGGGCAGGGCCATAGAGCTCCCAAAAGGTTGTGTCCTTTGTCTTTGGCTGCTAGGGCAGGTAGAGAAAGACCATTAGTTGGGGACAGGGTTAGGGATGTCTGAGCTCAGACTGTCCTTAAGCAGGGCTTGCTGCCATTGCTATGGGGGATGGCAGTGCGGTTCTCAGGCCAATGGAGTTATGTTTCCAGAGGGATTATGGCTGCCCCTGCTGCATCCCACAAGTTTTCAGGGAAGTGGGGGATAGCCAGCAGCCATAGGCCTCTTCCAGCTCTCATGTATCCCCGCAGCCCACAATTTTGGTGTTACTCCTCCCATCCCCGCACCCCTCAAAGCCGACCAACAGGACCAAGTTTATTTCTAGGCAGCCAGTGAGCAGGGCTGGGAACTTGCTTCAGGCTACAAGCCTCCCCACTGAGAAAGCAAGCCAACTCACAGTTCCTTGCCTGTCCCATGGGGCCTGCAGGGGCAATCCACCTCCTTCAAATGGTCTATGGATCCTCTCAGCTTTCCTGGTATGTTCCTGGTAATTCATGGAGCAAAAGTTAAGGATGTGGGTCTCCACAAGCCACACTGTCCATTTGAGTGGGTCTCCACATGCTACTCTGTCCATCCAAGTGGGAGCTGCAAGGTAGTCTTGCCTCCAGCCTACCATATTCCTACCTATCTCCCTCCTTTATCTGTTCTTGAAGAGTAGGTCTATTAACAACAATTTTCTTAGTTTTCTTTCATTGGAGAATGTCTGTATTTTTTCTTCTCCCCTGAAGGTTTGTTTTGCCAGACATTGAATTCAAGATTAATAGTTCTTTTCTTTCAGTGCTTGAAAAATCTTTCATTTCCTCTCTGCCCAATGGTTTCAGATTAGAAATCTATTATATGGATAATGTATCATTTCTCTCTGGCTATTTTAAGATTTTTTTTCTTTGTATTTAGTTTTCAGAAGTTTAATTATGCTGTATCTTGCTGTTGATTTCTGCAGTTTATCCTAATTGAAGCTTTTGAAGTTCATAAAGCAAGATTTATATAGTTTCATTTGCAAGTTTATGTTTTTCACCAAATTTGGAAGTTTCCACAATTATTTGTTTGGATACCTTTTCAGTCTCAGTCTCACACCTTTTCTCATCTCCTCTGGGATCCTAATTTTAATGGAAAAAACCACAATTACTTTTGCACCAACCTAATATATGTTTTGTTATTATCCCACAGAATCCTGAGGATCCCTTTTTTTGCCTTTTATCTCTGTTATTCAGATTGAGTAAATTTTATTGATCTATGTTTATGCTTACCAATTCTATCCTCTGTCATCCCCATTCCACTACTGAATCCATCTAGTAAGATTTAACTTGATTACTAAATTTTATAACTTCTATGTGGCCCTTTTTAAAACTTTGATTTTTTGGCGGGGAGGGGGGAGGATTTCTGTTTTCTCATTTGTGTCCATGGCATTTGTAATTGATAACTGAAACATTTGTATGACAGCTGCTCTTTATAATCTTTGTCAGATAATTTCAACATCTGATTCATCTCAGTATGGATATCAGTTGATTGTTCTTCTCAATCAAATTGTTGTTTTCCTGGTTTATTGGTATGACAAGAAATTTTTATTGTATCCTAGAAATTTTTATTGTATCCTAGATATTTTCTATGTTAGGAGACTTTTGATTTTATTTAAGTCTTCTATTTTAGTTGGTGTGTAGGTTCTGGTCTATTTTTTTATGATTTAGCTACAATGACAGTTTAGTTTCCTGAGCACTTATAATGTTATTCTGGCCTGCTTTCTTCTTCTGGCACTGTGGGGGTTCCCACTAATCCCTACTGATACTATTTACAGGGGGAGAAGCATATCCCTTTGCACCCTGTTTTTGGTGGGCAATCTTTTATAAAGTGCAGACGAAACTGGGTTTTGATTCCTGTATGCCAGTGGGGTGAAGGGCAGGGAGACATGGGGCTTCATTGTCACCACCACTGCCACCAGATTGGAACACCTACTGATGACCCAGTTATAGAAAAAGGGCTGGGATGGCCTAGGCCTTTATTGCTCTGTTTTCAGAGGCATGGACTGCCCAGCAGACTAGTTGGTAGAGTTGTGGTTAGAACTCCTCACTGGATCTCTGTTGTACTTCTCCTTTCTCAGTTCATTGGCCAGATAGAGTAGGCTTTCTTGGGTTTTTTGTTTGTTTTGTTTTGTTTTTGTCTATGTAGTTTTGTTTTTGTTTTTGTTTTTTCTACAATTATTGGTTGCAGGCTTCAGCCCTCTCCAACACCCAATCCTATAGTATATGAGATATAAAAAGAAAATCCAGAGGGATTACCACATTTTCATTCCTCGATTCATGATGTCCTTAGGAAGCCCACATTCTTCTGTCAAGATTACAGAGTTGATATGATTTGGCTGTGTCCCCACCCAAATCTCATCTTGAATTCCCACATGTTGTGGGAGGGACCTAGTGGGAGGTAATTGAATCATGGGGGTAGGTCTTTCCCATGCTGTTCTCATGATAGTAAGCCTTACAAGATCTGATGGATATTATAAGGGGGAGTTTTCCTGTATAAGTTCTCTCTTTGCCTGCTGCCATACATGTAAGATGTGACTTGCTCTTCCCTGCCTTTGGCCAACATTGTAAGGCTTTTCCAGCCACGTGGAACTGTAAGTCCAGTTAAACCACTTTATTCTGTAAATTGCCCAGTCTCAGGTATATCTTTATCAGCAGTGTGAAAACAGACTAATACAGTAAATTGGTACCAGCACAGTGGGGCATTGCTGAAAAGATACCTGAAAATGTGGAAGAGCCTTTGGAACTGGGTAATAGGCAGAGGTTGGAACAGTTTGGAGGGCTCATAAGAAGACAGGAAAATGTGAGAAAGTTTGAAACTTCCTAGAGACTTGTTGAATGGCTTTGACAAAAATGCTGATAGTGACATGAACAATAATGTCCAGGCTGAGGTGGTCTCAGATGGAGAAGAGGAACTTGTTGGGAAATGGAACAAAGATGAGTCTTGTTATGTTTCAGCAAAGAGACTGGCAGCATTCTGCCCCTGCCCTAGAGATTTGTGGAACTTTGAACTTGAGAGAGATGATTTAGGGTATCTGGTGGCAGAAATTTCTAAGCAGCAAAGCATTCAAATGGTGACTTGGGAGCTGGTAAAGGCATTTGGTTTTATGAGGGAAGCAGAGCATAAAAGTTCAGAAAATTTGCAGCCTGACAATGTGATAGAAAAGAAAGTCACATTTTCTGAGGAGAAATTAGAATGTGCTAAAGAAATTTGCATAAATAACGAGGAGCCGAATGTTAATCCCCAAGAAAATGGGAAAAATGTCTCCTGGGCATGTCAAAGGTCTTCACAGCAGCACCTCCCATCACAGGCCTGGAGGCCTAGGAGGAAAAACTGGTTTCTTGGGCCAGGCACAGGGTCCCTGTGCTGTGTGCAGCCTAGGGACTTGGTGCTTTGCATCTCAGCTGCTCCACCCATGTCTGAAAGGAGCCAGTGTAGAGCTCAGGCTGTGGCTTCAGAGGGTGCAAGCCTCAAGCCTTGGCAGCTTTAATGTAATGTTGAGCCTCTGAGTGCACAGAAGTCAAAAATTGAGGTTTGGGAACCTCTGCCTAAATTTCAGAAGATTTATGGAAACACCTGGATGTTCAGGCAGAAGTTTGGTGCAGGGTCAGAGCTCTCATGGAGTACCTCTGCTAGGGCAGTGCAGAAGGGAAATGTGAGGTCAGAGCCCCTACACAGAGTCCTTACTGGAGCAATGCCCAGTGAAGCTATGAGAAAAGTGCCACCATCCACCAGACCCCAGAATGGTGGATCCACTGACAGCTTGCACTGAGTATCTGGAAAAGCTGCAGAGACTCAATGCCAGCCCATGAAAGCAGCCAGGAGGGAGGCCATACCCTGAAAAAACCACAGGGGCAGAGCTGCTCAAGTCCTTGAGAACCTACCTGTTGCATCAGCATGACCTGGATGTGAGACATGGAGTCAAAGGAGATCATTTTGGAGCTTTAAGATTTGACTGCCCCACTGGATTTGGGACTTGCATGGGGTCTGTAGCCCCTTTGTTTTGGCCAATGTCTCCTATTCAGAATGGCTGTATTTATCAAATGGCTGTACCCCCATTGTATCTAGGAATTAACTAACTTGCTTTTGATTTTACAGGCCAGGCAGAAGCGACTTGCCTGGTCTCAGATGTGACTGTTTACTTTTGAGTTAATGCTGAAATGAGTTAAGACATTGGGGGACTGTTGGAAAGGCGTTACAGGTTTTGAAATGTGAGGACATGAGATTTGGGAGGGACCAGGGGTGGAATTATATAGTTTGGCCATGACCCACCAAAATCTCATCTTAAATTCCCATGTGTTGTAGGAGGGACCTGGTTGGAGGTAATTGAATCATGGGGTCAGGTCTTTCCTGTGCTGCTCTTGTGATAGTGAGTAATCTCATGAGATCTGATGGTTATTGTAAGGGGGAGTTTTCCTGCACGAGTTCTCTCTTTATCTGCTGCCATCTGTGTAAGATGTGACTTGCTCTTCCTTGCTTTTCACCATAATTGATTGTGAGGCTTTTTCAGCCACGTGGAACTGTAAGTCCAATTAAACCTCTTTCTTTTGTAAATTGCTCGGTCTTGGGTATATCTTTAACAGCATGAAAATGGACTAATAGAAGAGTACTTTTATCATTGTCTGTTGAATGATGTATAGGGTGTTTAATTTTATTTAGAGGAAAGAAACAGGCAAAAATGATTCTATGGCATCTTGTTACAGAACTGGAAGGTAGTATTTTCATCATAAATCATGGCTTCCTGGACAAGTTGAAATTACCAACCAAAGAATGACCTTGCCAGTAGCTGAAGTGACTAGTCAAGGATTATACGCCAAACCTCTCACACTGTAAGATAAGAATATTTGCTTTAGGCTTTTCTATTTTGTTGCTTGCCAGCTACACATATCTATTTTGATATATTTAAATAAACCACATTTCATTGTTAAGACATCATTAATTCAATCTGGTAGATCACTGAGTTAGCTCTACTAACAAAATTTTATCTCATTTGTGGCCTGTTTTGTACTACATAGTAGTTAGAGAGGGCTTCAAAGAGATGAACAGGAATATGAATAGGTGTAAATGCCTTGTACATTTGCTAATGTTTGATACCTTCATCCAAAATAAAATGAAGCAAAATAAATAGAAGAGGTATCACTGCAGACTGAGCTGCCTCTATGTTACAAAATATAATCAGAATATAAGGATCTGCCTATCTTTTAAGATACTTTTGAAGATATATGTATTTTACAATTAACAAAGTGCTGGGCTCCTGTTAAATTTTTTACAAACAGAACTTGAAATCACTGTAAATGCCAGGAGAGGAGATGTAGAGCTCTCTTGCATAGCACAACCCCCTATCCAGAAAGTGTTTAATTACTGACTAAAATTTAGGGTCAGGCACGGTGGCTCATGCTTGTAATCCCAGCACTTTGGTAGGCCAAGGCAGGAGGATCACCTGAAGTCAGGAGTTGAGACCAGCCTGGCCAACATGGTGAAACCCCGTCTCTACTATAAATACAAAAATTAGCCAGGCATGGTGGCAGGCACCTGTAATCCCAGCTACTCAGGAGGCTGAGCCAGGAGAATCGCTTGAACCCAGGAGACAGAGGTTGCAGTGAGCCACTTTCATACCACTGCACTCCAGCCTGGAAGACAGAGTGAGACTCCTTCTCAAAAAAAAAAAAAAAAAAGAAAGAAAGAAAGAAAGAAAGAAAAAAAAAGTAGAAGAAGAAAAGAAAAAAGAAAAAATGTAGAATCTCAAGCCAGGCGTCATCATTACGTAGAGGTATTGGCATAGAATTAAGGAATATTTATTTTCATCCCTCAAGAATGACCCCATTTCAAATGCATACGGCTACTTGTAAATGAAATTAGCTAATGTTGGCAGTTAGTGTAGAAAACAAAAAGAATCTTTCAATTTTACCTATATTAGCATTCTAACTCTCTCAATCTATTTTTTATTATTCTGCAAAGCTCTGTTTTGAAGAGACTATCTTTGAACACTAATATTCTCAGATACTCAGTACATGCTTTTTGCACTTACAAAGTAAATGGGCACATAAGTAAGGGATTTTATCAAACATATATTTAATTTTTTTAAATGGCCACTCTCTGTCTTCAGTTATAGTAATCATTTAGTCATATTTCCAAGAAGTAAGCCAAGACTTATAATGAAAGCGCTTGGCTAAATTTTTCCTTCAGGTTTTGAAATCCACCCTGAAATAACATTAGGAAGCTTTATAGGCTCAGTTAATGAGGAATTAAATAACCTAAATTCTTGGGAAGGGAAATCTAGTGTTTGAAATGTTAGAGATGTGGAGAATGAAAAGCATTCAATAAATTCACCATCTTTTCTCTTTTAATTTAATACTTTTGCTAATATATAATAGACGTAGAATGAATTGTGCATATTTAATTTGTCTAGTTTGATAAATTTGCATGTATAAATGCATATGAAACCACCAGCACACTTAATAGAACGGAAATATTCATTCAACCCCCAAAGGTTCCTTGTGACTCTTTATAATCCCAGATACCCTCATTTCCCCTACACCCATCCACAGACAGCCAGTGATCTTTATAATACTATAGATTAGGGGACATTTTCTAGGATTTTATATAAATGGAATCATATATGTGAACTTTTTTGTCTAGCTTTTTTCCATTCAGTATTTTTTATTTTATTCATGTTGTAATATGTTTCAATAGTTTCTTTTTATTGCTCAGTAGAATCCCATTACATGGCTATAACACAGTTGTATATCCATTCACCTATTGATTGACATATGGATTGTTTCACATTTGGGGTTATTACTAATAAAGCTACTATAAACATTCTATTATAAATCTTTGTAGAATCATAGCCTTTTATTTCTCTTGGGTAAATACTTGGGAATAGAATGCTTAGGTTATATGGTAAGTATAGGTTCAACTTTTTAAGAAACTGACAATTTGGTTTTCTAAAGTGGTGTGTGATACTACTGTTAAGACAGCCGCAATGTCTCTATATCCTTACCAATATTTAGGATGGTCAAGATTTTTAATTTTAGCCTTTATAATAAATAGGCGTTAGTGGAATCTCATTGCCTTTGCCTAATGATTAGTGATGTCTGGCATCTTTTCCTGTCCTTATTTGCGTATGTGCATTTGTATGTCTGCTTTGATGAAGTTTCTGTTTAAATATTTTGCCCATTTTTAAAATATGATTTTGTTTTGTTATTAAGTTTTGAGAATTCCTTAATCTGGATACAAATCCTTTATCAGCTATATGATTTGCAAATATTCCAACTTGTCTTCTCATTCTCTAATTCTTTCAAGGAGCAAATTATTTTAATTTTGATGAAGTATAATTTATCAATTTGTCCTTTGATGTGGCATACTTTTAATGTAATACCCAAAATTCTATGCTTTGCCCAAGGTCACAAAGGTTTTCTCCAACTTTTTGTTTCAGAAGCTTTATTGTTTTAAGACTTACATCTATATTTAAATCTAAATTTTGACTGAAATCTAAATTTGGGCCTAACATCCATTTTGAGTTAAATATTATATATGATGAATAATATAGATTGAAGTTCTCTTTTTCATATGGATATCTAAATTGTTCCAGCACTAATTTTGAAAAGGCCATTTTTGCTGCATTGCCTTTGCAGCTATAGTAGAAATCAGTTGCCACATATGAGGGTCTATTTTTGTTCCATTGATCTATTTCTATATATTCACACCAAAACTATAGTCTTGATTGCTGTAACTTTTTCATAAGTTTGAAATTGGATAGCATTAGTTTTCCAGTTTTCTTTTTTATTTTTTCAAAATGCTTTTGTTTACTCTAGTTTCCTTACATTTCTAGATGACTTTAGAATCAGTTTTTTAATTTTTAACAAAAATTAGCCTATTGGGATTTTGGCTGGGATTAAATTAAATTTATAAATCAGCTTGGAGAGAATCGACATCCTAATATCTTTGAGTCTTCCATCCACAGATATGATATATCTATTTATTTAGGTCTTTATCTCAGTAATATTTTATAGTTTTCAGTGTACATGTCTTTCACATGTGTTATCAGATTTATCCTTAAACATATAATATGATGCCATTGTAAATTAAAGTCTTTATTTTAATTCTCTAAAATTAATTGTGGTAATAGTTGCACAACTTTGTGAACATACAAAAATCCACTGTATTTTCTCTTTAAATGAGAAGATTGGCATTATATCTCAATAAAACTGTTTTTTATAATGCAGGCATACATCACATAAACTTAGCAATACAATGCCCAAAGAAAAGAAAATAATTCAGTATACTTAACCAAATATGGTTTTGAAAATATAAAATATAATGGAAATCAAATTATATCTATATTATTATTGAAGTAAAACTCAGAACCTGATGATCAATGTTAAATCAATCACACTAAAATAAATTAGCTATTAAGATTGGCTGAAAAGTCCAGATTTTGGTCAATAATATGCATATTAATAAATTTTGTAATGAAGGAAGTCCTGCCATTTTCGACAACATGGATGATGCTGGAGGGCATTATGTGAAATAAAATAAGCCAGGCACAGAAAGACTAATACCTCATGGTCTCACTTATATGTAGAATCTAAAGAAGTCATACTCACAAGCAGAGTAGAATGCTGGTTACTGGGGACTGGTCAGGGGGTTGTGCAGGGAGCTGTTGGTCAAAGAATACAAATTTCAGTTAGACAGAAGGATTAAGTTCAAGAGATCTATTGTACAACAGGGTGAATGGAGTTAATAACAATGCATTGCATACTTTATAATTGCTAAAAGAGTAGATTTTAAGTCTTCTTACCACAAAAAAACTGATATGTAAGGTAATGCATAATGCATATGTTAATTAGCTTGATTTAGTCATGCCACAATGTATATATATTTCAAACCATCATGTTGTACACCATAAATATCTCCAATTTGTTTAAAAACTTAATTGATTAATTAAAAGTAATTTCTGTAATGAAATTACAGAACAGGTCCTTCATGTTCTCTTAACCAGCTGTAAGTCTTAGAATTTTCTCCTTTTACATAAATTTTAATAAAAGTTCCACCTATATATGGGCTTACGTGTTTATGGCCTATAAGACGCCCACTTTAACATAAGTTCTGTGAGAAAAGTGGTACAATTCACCCTTTATCTCCAGTGCCTAAGAAGTGATTGGGCGGGGGTTGGCACCCAATGAAGATGTGCCAAATGAATGTCCAGATAGCAACTGAGAGCCAGAAGAGACCTCAGAGAAAACTGAGAGCATGAAGCTACTTCAAAGTCACACATTATACATGGTAGGGACAAGACTACAACTCATTTTCTGGATATTCTTTCCATCACGTTTCACATTTTCACAAGGCAAAGCATGGTTAAGTGAAAAATGAGGATTTGAAGTAAAAGCATTTAGGTTTTAGTCCCATTTCCAATACAGTGAACTCATTTAAATAACCATGGCAAGTTATCTTGAAAATTAAATTTTCTCAATTGGAAAACAGTGATAATGACACTTTATTCATAGGACTGTTGTTAGAGTTAAATGAAAGTATGAAAATGAGTAGGCTGGAGCTATAAAGCATTAGGAGAAATTATATTCTGCTATCATATCTCCCTCTTCATTTTTACTTTTTCTCTAAAAGGCAATTAATAGCTCACAGAAAGAAAAAACAGAATTAAGATGGAATTATGATTACCATGTTTGTGGGTGCTCTAAGCATTTTTGACTGGCTTAGAAATACTATACGTTCCTTGAATTTAAAATCTAACTGAGCTTATCCTTATCTAAATTACTTCTGAAGTTTAAAAATGTGAGATTATTGTAGGTTTTTATATGTTTTATATTTTATAGACCTCTTCTATAAATTTATTAAAATAATATTTATGAAGTAATAATCAGGAGAAATGAGGTTAATACAAACATTTTTATGAACATAAAATTTGATATACAATGAGCAAACTACAAAAGAAAGTGAGCATCTACATTTCATCCCTATTCTATAATATATAGACTTTATAAAAGATTTTAATTTTCCCAAGATCAGTTTGAATTAGCACATGGGAATTTTTTCACTGTTTGAATAGCTAACTTATTACAGATATAATTAACAAGAAACCTCAAGTCCCAGTACTTTTCATAAATCACCAGAAGTGAAGCCAGCAAAAGACTAATTTCAAAGAACATTTCATTATTTCTAATCCTAGGCAGATTCAAACTAAAAAGACTTTTCCCAAAGAAAAAAAAAAAGAAACATATAAATTTGAATAATTGTTTTTCAAAATACCAAAGAAATTGTGTGCTTCAATAAGTGATACATCAAATGACAAGCCTTACCTGAATTCATTGAGGGCCTGACTGATACTCATGCTTCAAAGCATTTTCAAAATGCTTGTTTTTCAAAGCTTATGGTTTTCACTTGGAGGCCCATATTTCAACTTTAATTGATTCCCTACAGAACTGGACCCTTATGTTAGTTACAGTGTCTGTAACTCACTTGAAAACACTTCAGCATAGACAGTGCGTTAGGAGGAGTGTGTTAGATTAAGCTGCAACCCAGGAGCAGCTGGCATTCAAATCAGTCATGCACAGTCGGCTGAGGAACAGGTAGATTCTAGTCAAGAAAGCCCAGTCCAAAAATTTGAGGATTAAAATAAATAGTGATAGTAACAGATTATAACTCATACAGTAAAATAAGAACCATGAATGCATACTCATAAATGACTAAAGAAATAAAAATGTTAATGAGGAGAAGAGATAGGGCTATCAGTTCTTCATATCACTCTTGTGGTGTTAGGAGGCTTTTATTTTGCCTAAAATTAATTTATTCACTCAGCAATTGTTTTATGTCTACAAGAACACAATTTTATTTATTTTATTTTTCTAATTGACAAATAATAATTGTGAATACTCATGGGGTACAAAGTGATGTTTGGATACATATAATTTACGGTGATCAGATCAGGGTAATAAGCATATCTATCATCTCAAACGTTTATCATTACTTTGTGTTGGAAAAGTTCAATATTCTCCTTCTAGCTATTTGAAACTGTATAATAAACTATAGTCATCCTACAGAGGTACAAAACACGAGAAGGCATTTCTCCTATCTAGCTGTAATTTTGTATCCTTTAACAAATCTCTTTCTATTCCCCCCTTAGATTTCCCCTTCCCAGCCTTTACGGTATCCTCGGTTCTACTTTTCAGTTCTATGAGATTGACATTTTTTAGCTTTCATGTGTGTGACAACATGCAGTGCTTACTTTTCTGTTCCTGGCTATTTAACTTAACATAATATTTAACAAATATTTATTGGGAACTTAGTATATGTCAGAGGCTGTTCTAGGCAGGTAAGATAAAACTATTACAAATAAGAAGACACACACAGAGCCCTCATAGATAGTTATATTCTTTCTCACTTATGAAAATTATTTCATAGAATAAACTTTGTGTGAATGTAAGTTAGGTTTTTGTATAGTAAACTAAAATTTCTCAGGGCTTTAAAAATAATTATCATCTCCCATCCTGTTTCTTTGGAATTACACACCAATAAGAACAAGATAATATAAAGGAAGAAGGAAGTGGAGAAGAAAGATTAGTGCTGTTGAGTCTCAAATATTCAGAAACCTAGAGACTACACAATTAATTAAACTAATTGGGAAATTTCACAAGAGTAAAAATTGTTTAATAACAATAATAGTAGTGTTAATAATAATAGTCTAAAATGGAAAGTAGGGTTAGAATTGAATATCGCCTCAATTGGCAATTTCTGGAACTGGATAATTAGGACATCCTCAGGATCAAAAATACTCTAAAATTGCTTTTATCTTAGGGATATACAGTGAAGGTGACCTCAGGCTGGGATATTCACCTGACTGCTGAGAAGCTTGGAACATTTCATTGCAAACATGCCAGCCCACTAAAGCAGCAAGCTGTTTCCGCTTCTCCCAACAAATTCAGAATGGAAATGAAATTCCAATTATGCAGCAAATACAGGTAGTATAATTAAAATTTCTATTTCATTACTTCACATCCTTTAACTCTTTTAGGATGCATTGCTTAAACTATGAACCTGTAGATTGCCATCTGATAACTCTATAAAAAGCAAAATGTTGACTGATTTGAGTTTGCATTTTTCATTTAAATATACCATTATTAGAAACAAATGTGCTTTTTTTTTAAGATGGCCAACTACAAACATTACGGTCATAATTGTTGCAGGCAAGAAGTTGCAAAAATTGGGCAAAAGTTTGAGGAGAAACATTGCATACCCACATTGTATCACTCTGAAGATACTTAACCAATTACAAGGGCAAAAATAGTGGGAAAGCCAGCAGACACTGCCTTAGCCAAATGATCCAGGTTAACATCACCAGTAAAAAAGATATATCATCATAAATACCTGTGATATGATGCAGGGGCATAGATGGACAATAACATCACTTCTGTGGTATTCTTCCCAAAAATGTACAGCCTCAACCTTAGGAGAAAACTAAAGGCAAATTCAAATTGAGAGATATTCTAAAAAGTAACCATTAGTCCTTATCAAAAATGTCAAGGTCATGAAAGAGAAGAAGAAACTGAGGAACTATCACAAATTGGTAGAGACTATGGCAACAATTAAATGTAATGTGGAACTCTGGATTGGATCCTAGCACAGAAAAAGTATATTAGGAGCCAAAATAGTGAAATTTGAATATGGGGTGTAGCTTTGTTAATGGTATTGTAATAATGTGAATGATAATTGTTTCATGGTTTATAAATTGTAAAAAGAAGAAACTGAGGGAAGAGAATATGTGAACTCTGTAATATTTTCACAACTCTTCTGTAAGTCTAAAACTATTTCAAAAGAAAAAGAAAAAAGACAGGTATTGGATTACATTTTAGAAAATATAATCCAAAGCAAGTTGTTGATTCAACATTAAAACATCTTGTAGTATTACTCCTTCTAGAGTAAAAATGAACAAGTGACTTTTTCTCCCTTGCATTTCTTCTAGATTGAGGCCTGACCTGTCTAAATTTTCATTCAGTCACGTTTGCTATGACTGAACTACAGAACCAAAATACTGCTTTACAATGGAGAACACACCTTTAACTAAGGTGTGATTTTTTGTTACTGTAATCTTTTTATGTAATTATCAAAGCAAGCTGCACCAAACAAGCCAGAGATTAATATGCTGGGATGTCCATTTAGCTCTTTCTAGATAGGCTTCAATTTGGCTAAAATTTAGAATTATTATTTTTCTTCTGAGCACATCACATAGATGTCAAAAAGTTCTCTCCAAAACTTCTTATGCTGTCAGCTTTAATAGAGTCTGCTTACACAGATGAAAAATAAAAATTTCCTCCTTAAAAAATAACAACACAGAGATTCTTTCCACTGAAAACTTGCAACTGAAAATTATTTGAACTCTAAATAACTATAGACATTTAGATATTATTTCTTGAGGGCAGAACATCTTTTTGAGTTAGAGGTTATAATGAGAAATCTTGAACACTGGTGGAGTGATACCAACTCCAAATAAACTGCAACTTGCTTGCCTTTTCTTCAGTAGCAAATATTTAGCTCTTTGTTGCATTTTTTTCTATACATAGTCAGTACCAAAACTTTTGAAAGATAATTTATGTCACCCAGTAGGACCGAAACATGAAAAATAACATAGGCAGTATCTGGCTCATGGATCCTGACAATTATGGTCTATTCAATTTCACTAATCTTACTTCATTTACTCATATCACAAGTTGAAGACTATAAAATTTCCACTTCGTCACTGTTGTAATAATCTATGTTAATGGAAATAATTAAGTACCTCAATTTAAATCTAATTTCTCAATGATACATATTTTGAGATCTAGCAGTGGTTAAGTAACTCTGTAATTAAATTATAAGTTATTGTTTCATCAGAAACCGTCAACTTCACAATTATCTTAAAGCTAAATAAAATTACTGTGTACATAAATTGTGCAAGGTGCTATGCAAATTTTCTTCTCACAATAACAAGAAATGAGCTGACATCCTCTTTCTTTCCTGTTGGCTTCCCATTTCCTCTCTTCTGTAATCCATATGATATGTTTACACTGTTTTTCCTGTCCATCATTTAAATGATTTGCAAGAGAGTACTCCATATTCTTCAGTTTTAGCAACTAGATTGCATATTTGCTCTCCTTTTTTTGTTCTACCATAATTTAAGTGACTGTTCACATGGATAACCTTTCCAACAGCAGAGCCCTTAAGTTTCAAAACATCTTAACTCTAATGCCCATCCTCTCCACTTCGGCCCACATATGCAGCAGCACCCTGAAGCACACCATCGCCTCTCACTGATCAACCTTCAAGATCTGATCACAGCATCAGTTTCTTCCAAATCTCCCAATGTGTGAATCCTTCAAATACTGATCTTTACTGCACAATGTAAACCCTTAATCTGGTCCTATTCCCCAAGCTTCTCTTCTGGCCTCATTTACTTCCTTAACCAGACTAACCATGGTCAATCTTTAAGCTGTGATCTCGAATAAGCAGCCAAGAATTAATTTTTTGCTTTACATACTTTGGTAGTTCCTAATTCCATGTTAATATTTCTGTTTCTCCATCTCCATTTGAAATGACTAAGTATAGCAGGAGAAATCTCATGTTATTGCACAAATTGGTCTCATCACAAACTTAAAATCTAACTGCAACTGATTAATGAATATTAACCACAAATTATTCTCTTATTTATTATTTATCCAAAATTAATTATCTCTTCAATAACTATCTCCCAGTAATTTAGACCTTTGCCAATCTCTAGATGCAGCCTAATCTATAAGCAAATGACTTTATCTTGTTTATTTAAAAAGTTAAAAACACTCAATTCAAATTCCTTCAAATTATTTTCCCCTTTTTCAAGTGGTTTTCTATAATTTCTCAATCATTATTATTTGCCTTGTGACACAAAGGAAAGAAACAATATAAAAAAGTAAAAAAAAATATGGATTTGCCACTTTCTTACTGGATAATCTTAAACCAATTATTTATCACCTCATTTTCTTCCAATTTAAAATAAATGTAAAAAAATATGAAAGGAAAGTATCTTGGGCTCCCCAAATCACTAAGGAAAAACTCAAGCTGGAAGCTGCTTAAGGTGAACCTGCCTCCCATTCTATTCCAATTATCCCTGTGCTCACTGAGATAGATGCATATCTGATTACCTCCTTTGGAAAGGCTAATAGGAAACTCAAAATAATGCAACTGTTTGTGTCTCACCTATCTGTGACCTGGAAGCTCCCTCCCACTTTCTAGTCTTCCTGACTTTGCTTCAAGTTGTCCTGCCTTTCTGACAGAACCAATGTACTTCTTACATATATTGATTGATATCTTGTCTCCCTAAAATGTATAAAACCAAACTGCGCCCCAACCACCTTGGACACACGTCATCAGGACTTCCTGAGGCTTCACGGGCACGTCCTCAACCTTGGCAAAATAAGCTTTCTAAATTAACTGAAACCTGTCTCAGATTTTCTGGGTTCACAAATTTATACCTTAAAGTTGTTGTGAAAATTAAATGAGATATTCTAAGACCTGACACGGAGTGCTTCATAGCAATTATTTGTATTTAAATAGATCTATTCTTTCCCTTCATTTAACATCTTAATTTCGTTCTGTCTTCTTTTTGTCTAATCATTTGTTTCCTTATTTGCCCCCTAATTTCACCCTGTGTCTTAATTCATTATCTCAATCTCAGTCTATAAACACACAAAATTTCCTCGGTTCTCAAAAAAAAAAAAAAATCACCTTCTTTCCTTACCCTGGGTTTTCCTCAAGCTATTATTTCTTATTTCTATCTACTTCAAAGCCTTGCTAGGCTTGAAAATGTAGTCTAGGTTTGCAGGCTATATTTAAACTTGACTCACCAACCCACAGATATCAGGATCCCTTGCCCACTGTCTGTGTACCACTTTTTTAGCCACCTTAGTTTTGTGTTAAAGAAATATTTGAGTCTTTTTTCTTTCCTTAGCAGCTACTGTCAATCAATACATCTGGGTATTTTTAACATGAAAGCATTCTGAGATCTGTCCCTTTCATTCTACTCACTTTCCATTCTCTCAGATACTATTATACATCTATGGTCTAAAACAAGAGTTTCTAAAGTGGATTGTAACCCCTGCCTCATTCATTCTTCCTAATACTTCCATTTTTATCATCTGAAGCAAACAGAGCTGATCTACATCACTATGGTCCTTTAAAAAAATAGAAGATTCACATTATCTAAAATAGCCTATGTTTTTTGCATAGATGAATTTTGAGTGCATGACCCATGTACAACCTAATTGCAAAAGATATTATCTTCTATACCTATCACCTTGCACTATAACTTGTAGTCATCCTGAACTTAATTTTTCTTCTACTATCTCTATACATATGTGCATGATCCTTTCTGTCATATCTTCCTGTTAAATCAAAGCCAACTTTTAATGTGCAGACTAAATGTCTTCCAGATCCACTTGCATTTCACCCAAAGTTTTTGTCTCTAGTTCTCTAAGGTGCTTTGTAACTGCATTGTACAATTAGTCCCGTTTATTCTTATTGTAATTTTTTATGCATTGGTAATTCCATACAAGACTGTCACTTCTGAGGCCATATGTTTTAGTACAATTCCTCAAGCTATGATCTAAAGAGTAGTTCCATCAAAATCACTTGGAATACTTGTTAAAAATTAGATCGTAGTGCTTACTTTAGACTGACTGCATCTGTATCTCTAGGGATAGGACCCATGAATGTGCTTTTTAATAAGCTAATATTAAATACACTAACATTGAGCACTATTATTAAATAGAATAGAATTGACTTTGGAAGAAGATGCATTTGTCTGAAATAGCTCGATGCCTTTGGGTAGTATAACCTCTCATGATATGAATTTTGTCATCCATAAAATGAGAATAAAATTTATAATACCTACCAAATGAATCTGGTGGGAAAAATAAACATAATAAAATACGCCTAAAATATCACAGACCTAAAAATTATATAAGTGTATTTTTATAAATAAATAACATTTTATAATATCCCAGACAAATAAATATAATTTTCCTTCTTTAACACTTTCCCAGAGCCTCACACCCTCAAAAAATGCCATATTGGGTGGGTTTTTTTTCCTATGCATCACATAGTATCTACCATAATTCCTTGCAAATCAGAGGGGCTGGAAAATGTTTACTTTTAGAGAAGGCAATGAAGAGAGAACATTTGTTTCTAGTAATGTTGTATTTGTATGCATGATATTGAAATTAAGGCAAACTTTAGAAGGTTGTTAAAAGTTTTATGAGCACTTATGAAATCTATCAATGATTAAAAGAAATAATGAGGAGTGACTATCAAAAGTTGTGAAAATCTAGTCTCACCTTAAAAATAGAGTATTAGACTTGAAATCAAGTTAATATCAAGGATATTGTGCATTTCGACATCAGCAAGGCATTTAACAAAAACACCAATGGACTTTTGGATATAATTGAGAAATATGTTTATTATACTGCTGGGTATACAGACAGCTGCCTAAACAACTGTGTTCTAAACAACTGTGTATTGAATAAAGAGGCAGACTTGGGGTATTAGAAAAAAAAAAAAAGAAATGTACTTTGAATCATGGGACCTGATGAATAAGGAGATTGCAATCCAGTGTGTGGCTGGGCATGATGGAGCTTGCCTGTAATCCCAGCATTTTAGGAGGCCAAGGGAGGCGGATTGCTTGAGCCAGGAGTTCAAGACCAACCTGGGCAAAATGGCACCCAGGTGAAACCCCACCCTTACCAAAAAAATACAAAAAATAGCCAGATGTGTAGTGGAGCACATCTGTAGTCCCAGCGACTCTGGAGGCTGAGGTGGGAGGATCACTTGAGCCTGGGAAGCTGAGGCTGCAGTGAGCCATGACCACACCTCACAGCCCTGGACTCCACCCTGGGTGACAGAGTGAGGCCCTGTATAAAACAAAAAAAAAAAAAAAAAGGAAAGAAAAGAGAAGAAAAAAGCAATCCAGCTTGCATTTCCACTCAGCAAGCCATGTGCATGTACCTTGAGTGATAGTATACTCACCTGGAGGAAGCACATCCACAGAAGGGCATTTCTGCTCGCAGGGCTGATCTGCCCAGAGGGGGTTCCATTTTTTAATATGCACAAAATCTCTATGTGGTAGTTGTACAGATTACAGTCAGCTTGATCTCTACATGTAAAAATATGGAGATACAGGAGACAGAGTTTTCCATACCAAGGGACAGAGTTTTCCATACCAAGGGGACAGTATGATTCTGTACATCCCAGAGTAGTACCAAAGTGATAATGACCCTAGTCAGATCCATAGTTTACTAAAACCCAAAAGGGTATGGAAAGGGCAGGAAAGCAGATGAAAAATTGAAAAGGTCTAGTGCTTAGGACAAAGGATGAGTCAGCATCTACCTACAGAGACCAATGACTAAAGACCAGATGGGAATAAACACATCCCAGCAGTGCCATCTGGATAGAGGGAGACACTGAGTAACAGATGCCCTCCCATCCTGTGACTTGGCACTCTGTCAGCCTCTGGGAACTTAATGAGAGCCTAGGCCCAGGAGTAGGTAAACCCTGAACCAACTGAGATTAAATTTCTTTCAGCTGACAAAATGGGAGATAAAAATAAATCTTAAGTAATATTGAAAGTAAAACATCACATAGACCGAAATTCATACCTGCTACCCAAACATAGATTGAGATTAAATGTTAGGTTAACTATTTGAAAGTTGGGGTAAATTAGATTATATTTACATAATTAGTACACTTTACAGAATCAGAGGGTAAAAAAAGATAATTCAGGGGAAACACCATATAATTGGCTGACTTAGCACTGTTAACTACTATTTTGAAATATATAGATTTCTAAGAACTGCCTTCATGGATATTACTTCTTGCACTTTCCCTCTTGCCTCTCCCAGGAGACTATCTTGGTTTTTATGCACTTGTAGAATACACTTTTAAAAGCATCCATGCAATAGCACAACTGTTTTACATCAGTAGTATTATTGCATATGAATGGAAAATTAAGTGAAATGTATATGCTGCAAAAAGTCTAAAGAAAATTAGACTTCCAATTATAACACTTAACTTTCAATATCACACTTTCTACTGTTACCAAGATTGTATAACTAAATCTTTAGCTTTTAGTTAGAACCTCATTCCCTCTAGGGCCTGACGTATGCCATTGACTAAATCTTAAACCATCTAAGGAAATTAGAGAGGCTCCAAAGCCTGGTAAGTCTCAGTCCTGCTTTTCTTTAGCCTGCATATAATTAGTCAGTATCGTGTCTCATCTCTGCACCTAGCTCAGGAACTGAATGAAGTATTCATGGTTAATTGGCAGAGAAACCCAAAATTAATCTGTCTGCTCATTGCTTCCGTGCAGAGATTATATAATTTGACTTTTTCTTAGTAAATTAGACAAGATTTTCTTTCTTTACTTGTTTCTTACTCTTTCTCAAAACATAATTACTTAAATTTGAATGGAATAAAAACAACTCTTTAAACATATGTAAATTAAAGTGATTTTAGTTGGCATCAGAAACTTTATGAATGAAAATAATGAAAACACTTACTCATAGAAAGGCAAAAAAAGTTCGGTGAATCTGAATAATGTATCATTTAGAGCAAAACATCAATAATTTTAGAAGATCCTTTATCTTTTAAATATAATAAATACTTTTTTGTTCATTATAGAAACACTTGAAAATTCAGAGAGCAACATAAATTAAGAAAACTGAGGCAAGCCTAGGCAACATAGTGATACCCTGTCTCTACAAAAAGTAAAGCGAAACAAAACAATTTGTATGTGGTGGCATATGTCTATAGTCCCAGCTACTTGGGAGGCTGAGGTGGGAGGACTGCATGAGCCTGTGAGGTTGAGGCTGCAGTAAGCTATGATCATGCCACTGCACTCCAGCCTGGGCAACAGAGTGAGACCCTATATCAAAAAATAAAATAAAATTATGGATAATCCACCTGTGAGAGATAAACCTAGCATTTTCTCTTGTTCTATTCCATTTCATTTCCATATGGCGGGGGGAGAGGTGTCAAAAAATGCATATTTGGAATTTTTTCTTTAATAATATATTCTGAACATCTTTCAATGTAATGAAATATTCATATGCATCATCATTTTTAAAGCCCACACAAGATACTATTGTAAAACTTTAACACAAATTCATTAACCCATCACTCATTTCTGGGCTAAGTTGTTAAAAAAAATTAACTCTGATAAATTGGCTTTGATAAATAATTGATGTAGTAGAATATTTATAAACATCCACAATGAATTCTTAAGGGTAAGCTCCTAGAGTTTCACAGCAGGCCACAGAGTATCCACTTTTATTGGATTTTGGCTGTCATGGCCAATTCATCCTCCAAAAAGTCTCTACCAGCATTAATCTCCTCTGCAATAGTCAGTGTTCACGTTTCCAAAGCTTCACCAACATGAGAATTTCTCTCGTTTTACCAACATAAAGTATATACCATACCAATCCCTTTGCATTTATTTATTTACTAGTGAGTTTTGACCTTTTTAAAAATGTTTGTCACTTGCATGTATTCATTGGTGATTTTTTAAAAATTCTTGTCCTTTATACATTTTGAAAGAGTGTTATCTTTTTCTTCATTTTTAAGAGCTCTCTTTGAACTATTAAAGAATGAGTATTTTGTGTCAAATATATTGCAAACATTAGTTTTACAAGTTTACTGTTACTCTTTTAAACTCTTTAATCAAGTATAATTACAGAAAAAGTATATTTATAAAGTATACAGCTTGAAGAATTTTTGCAAATAACACATCTGTGTATTAGTACCCACATATGGAAACAGGGCAACATGACATCCAGAGACCTTTCTGCTTCTTCTAGTCTTTATTTTCCCAGTAAAGATTATCAGTATTCTAACAGCGTAAGTTAGTTTTATGTTTGTCTGTGTAACCTCATATATTTCAAATCATATTTTATGTATTCTTTCAAGCCTGCTTTCTCTCACTCAACATTATATTTCTGAAATTTGTTCATAGCATTGCACGCATTCCACTGAATTCCCCTGTATTTCCTCTGTGTGGTACTAATCTCATTTGTGATAGGTATTTGGGTAGTTTTCAGTTTGGGACCAGAAAATCTGAGAGATGCAACAAACAGAAAAATAACCAGTAAATTAAGCAGGTGAAGTCATTTTAATCATAAATAAAATAAGCAAGTTTCCCCCAGCTGAAAACAAAACAAGCCTTCAGATCGAAAGGGACCACCAAGCTATAGCAGGACAAATGAAAGCAGACCTACAATTAGACATATCAATGTGAAACATCAGTATGGCAAGAAAAAAATCATCCAGAAAGAGGGAGAAAACAGGTTATGTTCAAAGCAATGAAAATCACATTGGCATTTCACTTTCCACCTGACATACTACAGGTATAACACAATGAAACAATGCTTTCAAACATGTAGGAAATCTACTTTCACCCAGAAATCCATATCCATCCACCTTATTAATAATTCTGTAGGTAAAATAAAGATATATGTACAAAGTGTTACAATATTTATCTCCCACATATCTTTTTTGAGTAATTTATTTAAGGATTTTACTCTGAAAAAAGAGTGAGGGTGTAAATATAAAATAGAGACACTGGATTTAACCAAGGAGATTAATGAAGGGGGTTCCTAGCTGTACAATTGTCCAGCAGGCCTACAGAGCAACCAGGGAAAACTCCAGGACAGTTAAAAACAATACAAGATCTCTGGACTTCAAACATAAAGATGCTCTCCAAATTGGAAAAGGAATTCAATGGCCCTCCATCTGGGGGATCAAATATATTCCAAGTGATACACAGATCAAACAGGAAGAGGACTCCCAAAATTTCTACCTTTAGAATCAGTTTTTTAAGGAAAAGTTATAAAGATTTAATTATGGTTAAAAATGTAATTATTATCTACTTTGTATATTTGTAAAAGTACAGAAGACAGCTGTTGGCAGGAGGAAAGGAAGAGAAAGGTGGAAGAAAAGGCAAAGGAGAAAATATATTCATCTTTCAAATTGAGGAAGTACAAGATATTGATTGAGTGATAATTAGAAGTTTAAACATATAATTTGTATGAAAATATTACCATGCTGCCACTTAGCAGCAGTACAAAAACCATGTAGTTATTTGTGTGTTTCCAAAATTGATTTAATCTTTTTAGCAAAGCTCCTATTAAATATATTGTTTCCAGTTTAAACTGTTTCTTTTCAATAACTCAATTTATTCCACAGAAATGCCTTGTCTCCAAGATTTCCTTCCCCTCATATACTTTTCTTCCCTCCAACACCAACTTGATACAGATTCTCAGTAGGAGAGGGCTATGTGAGCTCCTGTGCCCTGTTCCCTGGGTCCCCAGGGCTCCTCAGGATTGTTCCTTATGTGCTGGGTACGCTATTCTCTTCCCCTGCTAGTGTCTGCATTGAAGAATTGTGTTTTATTCTCTCAGCTCTGTCGGGTCTGCTGAATTTCTCTCCTTTTGACTGAAGCCCACTTCGGCTCTATTTGTGCTGCCATCCCTCCAGGTCTCAGCAAAGTCCTCCACCAGCCTCTGGCTCAGTTCACACGTCCAGACATCTCAAGCCTCACCGGTGCAGCCCCCATGCCAGGCCAGCTGGCTTTCATCTTAGCCACTTCACTGTCTTCCACAAGACATGCAGGAACTTGTGAATCGATTCTTTATTACAAAGGAGTCTAGAGAGACTCAGACATCATAAATTACACACTTTCTCTCCTAACTACACTGTGCCTCCATGCCTATTCTGGCTGTGCTTGTTCAAGAACACATTTCTACAGACTCATTGTCATTGGTTTTCCCACAATTCTCCACCCTGCATCCCCAGTGGTGGGAAGCTAGGGGAAAGTGTGGAAAAGGGTGTTTCTACTGCTTCTTCCTCTCCAGTTGTCCATAGTCTACTGGCTAGAAAGGACTTTCATTTACTCCCCTTCTTGTCTGGCAAAGACACCCTCTGCATCATATTTTCTATATCCCACTTGATAACCCCTCTTCTTTAATCTATGGTGATTAAATTGCTATAGGAGAAAGGAGGAACAAGAAATACATTAGTTTAATGGTTTCCAAATATCTGACTAGCTATTAAAAGTTAAATTTAACCAACAGAGATGTAAAAAGAGTGGTAACTCTATTTATTACAGTTACCTAACTATATATTTGGAGAAAAAAAGGTCGTGTGCCAGAAGAATTGAGACAAAACTGCTAAAAGCACTGCTAAGAGAATTAGACATTAAAAGGGCAAGAGCATGCGATGATTGTTTTTTATTATAAATCCTTGCGTACTATTTAACATATTAATTTATAAACCACAAGTTTTTATTTATTTATATTCATTATGCCAAGAACTCATAAGGAATAATTTCCAGCAGCTCAGTCTCCTTGCCATTGACTCTCAAAGTGAGCTTCTTTGAGTAGAATGAGCTGGCACTTCAGTTGAACACAAACACCCATTTCTTTGTTTCATTTTCACAATCATTTTCCTTCATACATTTGGAGATGCTACCTCCATGCTCTGAGTACTTCATGTGCCCAATACATACATGAAATATCTTGACAACAATCTTGCCCTTATTTAACATAGTAGATCCTCCCAGCTTTGCCAAGTGAACATTTGTGGGGCAAGGATTGCATGACTTTGAAAAAGTTACTTAAATATTTCTGAATCGCAGTATCTCCATCTATAAGATGCGAATAAAAAGGCAGGTTCAATTTGAGGCACTAGTGACACAAAGACATATTAAGGCTAAACTCCTGTACCTAAATTTCTTGGCTGTTGAGTTATTTATATTTTAGAAATTAAAAAAAAATTTACAAGAATATGTCTGAGATTTTTTTTCATTACTTTTTCTTGGTAAATATTTAGGAAATTTTTTAAAATTCCATTTGGATGTCCCTTATTGCAGAATATATTCATTCCTTTTATAATATTTTGCATTTTTAATTTTTTATTTGTTTTATTTTCTCATTCAGAAACACAATGTTTTCTTATAGTAGATTACTAAATTAAATTATATTTATTATAATGTCTCTTATAGTTGTCCTACTGTCATATTCCATTTCATTTTAGATTTATTGTTTACTACATCACTGACTTTATTTTCTATTCCTCAGTATCTTGCGCAGATTTCTATTCTTCTATTGAATTTCTAGTTTCCTACTAAAAATAACATTATTTTCTCATCTCCCCAAGCTTCCTTTTTATTTCCATCTTTTCTATTAAATAGTCAGTCATTCTTTTTATAAGGTCTATGATTACTTGAATTTTTTTACTGACTCAATGCAGAAAGTTTTGAAAATGTATTTCAGTTTTCCTGTAGTAAATCTTTTTCAAGTATGTATTTTTTTCACAACTATACTTTTATATTTTATATTATTATTTATTTATTTTTATTTTTTTTTGAGATGGAGTCTTGCTCTGTCTCCCAGGCTGGAGTGCAGTGGCGTGATCTCAGCTCACTGCAAGCTCCGCCTCCCGGGTTCACACCGTTCTCTGCCTCAGCCTCCAGAGTAGCTGGGACTACAGGCTCCTGCCACTTCGTCCGGCTAATTTTTTTTTTTTTTTGTATTTTTAGTAGAGACGGGGTTTCACTGTGTTAGCCAGGAAGGTCTCGATCTCCTGACCTCGTGATCCGCCCACCTGGGTCTCCCAGAGTGCTGGGATTACAGGCGTGAGCCACCGCGCCCAGCCCTTTTATATTATTTCTAATGTTGAAGATATGTCCATAGACCTCAGTTCATTGGATTTTTTTTCATCAGTTGACTCATCCTAGAAAAGAGAAAGATTTATGTAGGCCAAATGTCTACAGGACAGAAGCCCCTTGGAATCCTTCATTGACCACCTGGTTGCTATTAAAACTCTATTCTCAGATATGAAGTTTTGATGGAAGGCTGTTTGATAAAATTCCACTTCCCCAATTCAGGAAGCCTGGGGAGAATTGCAAAGAAGCTGGAGGCTTTGAAGGAGAACTCAGTCTCTCTAGGCATACTCTTCTTTTTAGTGAAACTGTAGCACTAATGTCTAAGTCTGATTTCCAACTTTTTTGTTGTGCAGCCTTCTATGTCAAGTATGAGATGTGATTCTACCTGCTCTCCTTTCTGGTTGTAATACCAGCCAGATCACAGGGAAACTGCCTCACCCTACCAGATTTCTGTAGTGGACAGTAGCAAAAATATATGTCTATCCTCAGGTCTATGGCCTTCTCTTGTCTTTCCATTTTATGGGGTTGTTCCCTCTTCAACCAAAAAGAAATAGAGTACATTGGCATTAAAAAGTTTAGAGAGTGGTATAAAAATTTAAAGAAGATGAAAGTACAATTTTTTTCTCACCATACAGTATTTACTCCTTTAAAAAAATCTAAGTAATCTATAAGGAAAAGGTTAAACTTCCTAGAAACTTTGTTACCATATTCTGACTGTTCAGTTACTAAAGATGAGGTAGTATATGGGGGACACATTAAACACTTGCCTTTGGCTGGTAAGTTACACAGTTTACTGAATAATCTTGACTTTTTCCTGGATGTGTTTTCACTGTCAACCTCTCTACCATTTTCTTTGCTCACCTTTGTATCCTGGGAAGAGGAGGCTGTAGGGGTGTGAGATACTGAGTCCTGTGCAGCTGCACTTTCCAGATTTTCATGTATCTTGGCTTCTGGCTGTTTCTCACACAGGAAGGCACTGGTGGGACATTGGAGAGTGGAAGAAAGGAGAGGCAGCCAGCATACTCCCGCCTCTGGGCCCCAGGTGGCATTTTCAATACTTTGTTACTCTCTCTCCCGATTCCTCCTGCTAGACCCATTATAATTTCATCTCTCGGTTGATCCTGTGTTCTGGTATTCGGGAAAACTACTTCTATTCTTTGTTCTTCAGTATAGGATTGGTGGCTTCCTGCAGTTAAATTCTGGGTTGCCTTGCCAGCCTGATGGCATCTTAATTCTTTTATCACATCTGTAACCAATTTCCTACATTAAATTTCTTCTGTTTTTCAAGTTCTTAGCTTATACTCTGATATATCCCAAAGTCTCTGTATTAATATACATAGCTATCTCAAATTTATATCCAAATTAGTGAACTACGCTGATTCACTTTAGTGCTATGTTCTCAGTAGTCATTTAATCCTATTGACGATTAGGATTATATAAAAATAAATGCATATTTTAAACACCTTTCTCAGATTCCTCCTCGAAGCTAAAAAAAAATGTTTCCTATAAAGGAGTTTAAATTTTTAAAGAGCTATATAACAGCAATAGCAGGTAAAATAATACTTTCATAACTTTTGCTTTATATAGTTTTTATAAAACGTACAGTTTTCTTTCTATTTTCCTATATTTAACTGTGTATCAAAACTGAGCAAGTGAGCATCTAGACCTGATTTAGTTACAGAATCTTAAGGCATCAATTAATTATGTGCCAATTAACCAATAGCTGAATGCTATTATTTCAAATAATTTTAAAATATTAAATGATGTGGTATTTATTTTCTGAGCAACAAAATATTTTTATGTGATATAACCTGCATATATTCCCTTTTTTAATAAAAATGAAATAGTCTCTTAATTGAAAAAGTGTCAGATTTTATCTTCATGTTTAGTAAAGGTATCGGCCCCCATTTTGTAGTTGAGAAATGGTTAGCTATATATCCTTAAGCATTGTATTTTACAAATCACGTGTTCTGGTTAAACAGGAAGAGCAATTCATAGTCAATAAAAACCGGTAAGAAATTTCCCTTAGAGTCACTTAAAAACTGAACTGAAGCCAGTAGGTGTTTCCTTATAAGTACAGAATGGCCCATTTACACAGCTTTTGCTAATACAGTAAGGTTTTCAGTGGGCCAAAGTCTTCTGAGCTTTTGCCAGTAGACTTGAAAATTTCCTGTAATCATTGCATCTGGGTATTTTGCTAGAATAATGTATGCGAAAAGGATTAGAAAAGTTATTGGGTAAATTGATCTGATAATGTGACAGCTTTGTTATATTTTACCATTTTATTACAGTTTATGAGTTCAGCTGCTAATGACTTTGGTTATTTACTTTGTATGAGGCTTGGAATTTTTTTCCATGAGACACTGTCTACTCTTACCTACATATCATATTCCTCTATCGAAACCACTTGCTCTGTAACTTACTTTTTCTCTAGCTAGAACTCCATAGATAGAACAAATTGACGCCCTGACACAGTGAGAAAATTACATACATACTTGGCATGATCCACATTTTTATTCACACAGAAGCACATATTTTGTCCAGATAATTAACACCAGGAAATTCTTGATAGATTTGTTTGCCTGCTGCCCTATCACGTTACTCAATACTCTATTCTACAATATCACCAATCATCTAAGAACTTCAGAAATAAGTCAACCCTAAGTTAGCCCAATTTTATTCCCATACTGGAGATTAAAGTCACTTTCCTATATAGTAATACATGTGGTTATGAAACATTTTAACAAAAAATATCACAAAGGAACTAGAAGTCACAAATAGCATTGTAGTCAGGAATTCTGCAAAGCAGGAGATGGGCATGATATGTTGGTATGGATGGGAGTGTGAGAGGTCCGTGTTAAGGATTCTAAAAGTATAAAAAAGTGAATGAAGAAAAATTAGTAAGTAGTACAGGGAAGGTTTCCCTACGCCAATTATTAAGCTATTGCCTTAGGGCTCTGCTATGGTCTGAAAGTTTTTTTCCCTCCAAAATTCATGTGTTGAAACTTAATCCCTAATGTACTGATATTAAGAGTGAGGCTTTAGAAGGTAAGTAGGTCATGAGGGTCGAGCCCTTGTGAATGGGACTAGTGTCCTTATAAAAGATGCTTGAAGAAGCCTGTTTGCTTCTTCTGCCATGAGAAGATATATAGAAGGCACCATTTATAAGCAGCAGGCCCTCATCAGACAATTTGCAGGCATCTTGATTTTGGACTTACCAGCCTCCAGAACGATGAGCAATAAATTTCTGTTGTTTATAAATTACCCATTTATAATTTTATATTTTGCTATAACAGCCAATGGAGTAAAACATGCTCCAAATCTACCTTTTTCTTCTCTGCATTCTGATATTGAATCTCAGACTTCAACCTACATTTCTGCTTTGCCAGGTAGATCAATGTTAGACTCTATCAACAGGAGGTACTGAAGGAAATTGAGAGCCTGGAAGAGGGAGGAGGGACTTGCTCCTTCCTATTTGTTTCCTGTGGTCTTCCTGACTTCCTCACTTTGTCAACCTACCAATACATTTTTTTTTTTTTTTTACCCAAACAAGGGCAGTTCATTCTCATAGAAAATACTAAATCCTGGTTTCACTTTTTCCAACACTTGCAGAACCAGCTTCATCATGTTCTTTGGATGCACTAGCTCCAGCTGGCTCGTGCTCCTGTTTTCAAGGTCTGGTTCCCAGGCCCTGGGAGCTCTCATTTAAGCTTCTAAGTTTTAATAATTTCTATCTCTTCCCCAAGGGTGGTAGCTATTTCTTGCCGTTGTTCCCTCCACAAGAGCTTATAGTTCTCTTTTTACTCTTTCAATTACTTAAGTAACAATTGTATCCTTCATTAACAATTCTTCATATTAAATTTTCTCTTTTTAAATATGTAATGTCATTTCTGTTTTCTAAATGGACCACAGCTGATAAGTTCTCAAAAGATGCAACCAGGTTATGAATTGTTCTTTAGATAATTGTAAATCCATTCTATCAAGACAAAAAGTTGAAAAGAAGGACCCAGGATGCTAGCAGAAGAAAAATAATAGTTACCATAAAAAACTTAAGCAATATTTTTTGAAATGTGCGTTGTGTAATGGAGGAAGTCAATAAATGTCAAAGAATTCAAAGAAACATGACCTTGAGGGGAGCGATGGCACAGAAGTTGTGGCTTCTCTTGCATCAGAGCTCACCCAATTCCCATCTCATCTATGCTCCAATGATACTGAGTATGAGTTTTATAAAGATAAGCAGACACCAGGAGAATAAGGACTTCATGATATATGTAGTATTAATGATGAAACATAAGTAGTATTAATAATGAAACATAGTAAACTAATAACTGTTATATATCTCATTATTAATTGTATTTCTATAACTCAGCTAATATTCTTTTTAGGGAGGTGGATAAGACTATCTTTTCCATTAATGTGCTAACATTCCTGGAAATTTGGGGAGACTATAAACAACATGAAGCTTGTCTTTACCAAACTAGTCACCATGAGATCGAATTGAAAGATGTGGCTGATTCAGAATCTATAAAACAGAGATTTATGAATAGATCAATGTGTTATTTCCAGTAAAACATGTGTAAAATAAAAAGCTTAATGAATGCTATGGTTTGAATATGTTCCCCAAATAGCACGTTTAACTTAATCCCCAACACAGCAATGTTGGGAGTTGGGGTCTAAGGAGTGGCATTCATGTCATAAGGGCTCTGCCTTCCTAAATGGACTAATGTCAATTATAAAAAGGACTTAAGGCTGCAAGTTCACTCTCATGTCCTCTCTTGCCCTTCCACCTTCCACTATAGAATGATGCAGCAACAAGGCCCTCACCAGATGCCAGTTCCCCAATCCTGGAATTCCCAGCCTCCAGAACTGTGAGCAAATAAATTTCCATTCATTATAAATTACCCAGCTTCAGTTATGCTGTTATAGCAACAAAAGTGGACTAAGGTCATGAAGAAATGAAGCAAGCAAACAACTGAAAGAAACTGTAGGTGAATATTTATATAATTATGGAGTGGAATAGGACTTTTGAGACAAAACAGTAAGGTCAGAGACCATTGAAGGGAAACATTATAAATTTAACAACATTAAAACTTAAAACATTTGTACCTCCAAAATGACTGCAAATAAAAAGTAAAGAGCAAACTAAAAATATTAGTCACATAAACCTTACTATATTTCACAAATCAATATAAATTGATGAATATGCTAATGGGAAAAGATGGTTAATATGTAATTCATAAAAAATAAAAACTAGTCAGTAAACATACATAATAATAAAATTTAAAAATTTAATAAATAAATGAATTAAATCAGATAAAGTTCTTTAATCTATCAAACTATTGGCACCTTTATACACTGTCAAGGAGCAAGGGGTGGAAGAAGAAATTGTCTCAACAGTTTCATCAAACAACTTGGCAAGAGATATATTTCTTAAAAACTTTCAAGTATTCATACCTTTTAACCTAGAAAATATTTTTCTACAAATTAATCCAACAGAAATATCAGTAAAGTGGGCAAAAATCTATATACTCTATAAAATATATATCTTTATATTGTTTGCAATTCTAAAACAACCTAAATACCTGCATTAGAGAATGTTATAATGTGTAGTTATAATATTACTAAAAAATTAGAATAATATAACAGTATCTATTGAGATGAGGAAAATTTAACATATTATTTTCTGAAAAAGCAAATTATAATAAGTGGGAGCTAAGCTATGCATACACAAGGGCATGCAGAGTGATATAATGGACCTTGGAGACTCAGAATGGGGAAGGTGGAAGGCGGTTGTGGGGTAAAAAACTACATGTTGGTTTCAACACACACTGCTCAGATGACGGGTGCACTAAAATCTCAGAATTCACCACTGTGTAATTCAGCCACGTAACCAAAAACCACTTGTACCCTAAAAGCTATTGAAATAAAGGAAAAAATTTTTAACAAAAAAAGCAAATTATAGGGAGTATATGCCTTATGATGCTATTATTAGACTTATATTACTCTGTCAGAATGCACTTTTCTGCTAAAAGGAACTACATTAAAATGGTCATTTTGATGGTGGGAATATGGATAATTTTGAAATTTTGTGCTTTTCTATGTTTTCCAAAGATATTAAATGATTGGGCATGGAATTTTTTCTAATTATGATTAAATTATTTTGTATAAGAAAAATGCTCAGCTGGGCACAGTGGCTCACCCCTGTAATCCCAGCACTTTGGGACGCCAATGCAGGCAGATAATTCAATCCAGGAGTTCATGGCAAAACCCTGTCAAGAACAGAAAAATTAGCCAGGCATGTAGCACACACCTGTAGTTTCAGCTACTCTGGAGGCTGACCTGGGAGGATCACCTGAGCCCGGGGTGTGGAGGTTGCAGTGAGCCAAGATTGCACCACTGCACTCCAACCTGGGCGACAGAGCAAGACCCTGTTCTCCCACCCCTGAAAAATGCTGATTTTTATTTCTCATTTAAAAAGAATATGAACATGACACCATTAGCAGGGTTACATAAATATGAAATTATATTTTTGATTTATATTAAAAAGATGTTCAATATATAACGGTTTGTGGTTACATAAATTAAAACAGATTGGTCGGATGCAGTGGCTCACACCTGTAATCCCAGAACTTTGGGAGGTCAAGGCTGGCGGATCACCTGAGGTCAGGAGTTCAAGACCAGACTGGCCAACATTGTGAAACCCCGTCTCTACTAAAAATACAAAAATTAGCCGGGCATGATGGCACGCGCCTGTAATCCCAGCTACTCACTAGGCTGACACAGGAGAATTGCTTGAATCTGGGAGGAGGAGGTTGCAGTGAGCCGAGGTTGTATGCCTGCACTCCAGCCGGGATGACAGAGCAAGACCCCATCTCGAAAAAAAAAAAAAAAAAAAAGATTATAACTATATAACATTGGATATTTGGAGTTCAAAAGAGAGGTTGAACTAAATATTTATCTAGTTCATTTGAAAATATTATTTAATATAAAACTTTACAATTCCAAGAGACTTTTTCACATATTATCATGTATTGTTTGATATATGAGCAAAACCCAGGCTTTTGAAACAGACAGATATGACTTTGTTTCTAATTAGTATTCTTTTCAAGTTACTTAAACTGTCTAGTAATTTGGATCTTTCATTTTTAAAATAGTTACAATAATTCCTAATCCAGGGGGCTGTTACCAAGGATTAATGAGATAACAATATAAAACTGAGTATAATTCCTCAAATATAATAGAACAGTGATTTAGTACTGCAATTAATCTTAACAATAACTTGTGAAGTTGTCCATTAAAGTTTATAGTTTAGGTTGAGAAATTTGGTCTTCAAAAGATGAAGTCACTTGTTAATGTGAGAGTCAGAGGGTCCAATTGATCAAAACCTTCATGCTCTTCGAGATTTCTGGTGAGGGTTAAGGTATTATTGCTGGTTTACCTGTACTGGAGAGGGCAGCTGGACACAAGCATCCTACTCCTTCCCTGTATGCATTGAACACACCCACTCACAGAAGCTGGAGAACTGCAGGGCTACCCTGGGGAGTCGACAGATCCTGCATTTGGTCAGCATGTGGCACGGGGTCAGAGGACAGTACTCCTCCAGTACACTTGCTAGAGGCCAAAAGATAGGATCATACATGACCCCTAAAATTGACTTATTTTCTACTTGCTCTCCATAGGAAGTGCCCACTATTCACTTCATAGGAAAGAGTAAATGTGACATGGAAAAAAGGGCAAAAGCACTCTCTACAATCTGTCCCCCGTAAGGCAGAAGTGCAGATGATCCCCAACTTATAATGCTTCGACTCACCATGTTTCAGCTATACAATGGTGCAAAACTATTGTTTTTCACCTTTGTACAGAATTCAATAAATTATGTGAAATATTCAACAGTTTATTATAAAACAGGCTTTGTGTTAAATGACTTTCCCCAACGTAGGCTAATGTAAGTGTACTGAGCACATTTAAGGTAGGCTAGGCTGAGCTATGACGTTTGGCAGGTTAGATGAATTAAATGTATTTTTTACTCAATAATATTTTCAACTTATGTTGTGTTTATTGGGACAATCTCACCATAAGTCAAGAAGCATCTCTATTGGCAGAGTTTAAAATTGGAACAGGAGAAACAGGAGCAGTAAAATATTACATTTGGTTAGTGAAGAATTTAGTCCATTCAAGTCTTCTGGTTCCAAACTTCAGGACATTTATTAAGTCATAATGTTTGAAACAAATAAGATCTTGAGCAATCTTACCCATGTAAGTTTGGGTAAGATTGTGTTTTCTTTGATCATTACCTGGCCTTTAAACTTAAAACTAAACTAACTTTAAAGTTTAAAGGCCAAGTAATGATCAAAGAAAACACAATACTAAAAATACATAGTAAGGCTCTTTACAAAATATGTAAATTTAAAGTGAAACATTTAATTTCCTAAGGCATGAACATATTTTAAAAATAATTATATTAATACCTTGAAGTTAACACAAAATCCGCTGACAATTTTAGGTAAAATCTTAAATTTGGCCCATATATATGAAAAGGGGAAGAAGGACCTAATGTGTATGCTCCCCAAATGACAATCCACTGTGAATAAACTACTGAATAAGATTATATTTTGGCTGAATTTTTAAAATTCTCTTTGCCTTCCCAAATTTGTTCAATTATAGTACTAAAATGTCTGTGTCCTTCTGTTTTTCAGTTCCCTCTCAGATTGCATTATTTTTGTCACTGTTGTTAATCGTTGTTTGTTGGCCTTACTGCAGAGTTAAGGAAGAAATGTAAATAAAGAAGCATGTAAGCAATAAATATTTTGCAAAATTAAATAATATATTCATAAGTTTTATTTTTATTATGTAGCATTATGAAATGGGTCTACAAGTTACCTCACCACTGATAATATTCTATTTCCTCTCATTAAATTAAACCCTCATTCTGAACTCTAGTTGTCTTTTTGTTTAAAATGATTAAAGAAATAGAAGAAAAGAGTGTGCATTATTGAAAGAAAAATTATCCTGTATTTAAAGTTATATATGCCATATTAACAGCTTTACATGTATACAGGTGTTTACCTTGAGAATGAAATTAGTCCTCTATTATTTTCTTAAAAGAATTAGAATTAAAATACTGGAACAGTTTAAAATCAGTTTAAAAAATTGTTAAAGATATTTCTCTCTAATCTCAATAGTCTTCTCTAAAAGAGAAAAAACAACAACAAAAAAAACAACACAATCCATTCCTTAAAGTCCTGTGTAACAGTCAACTTGAAATATGTAAGTTGTGGTCAATAATACAAGGGAAGTATTTTTCCTTCAACATTTCCTGAGGACATTAAACAGAGTCAAACAGAGTTATACAGTTTCATAGAAGAACCTACAATATGAGGACATTATTTAACCAGAGTGAAAAAACACTTCTCTTATTCCACACTTTTGAAACAAGGTTACCAGTGTTTAAATAGAAAAAACATATATATTGAAGATGAATGGAAAGCCTTATCAAGTTAATTTCATGCCATTTTACCATAAATTCCTCTTAGTCCCCTGGGATTATACATTATGGCATGCTAGTAAAGTACATGTTAGAAAATGGTTACACCATTGAACAGTCATTGAGGGACACATTAAATTTAATAGATGGTAGTTGAAAGATTTGCCAGTGTAAATGCTACTTTTTAAATTGTGAAGGAAGCATAGGTTGGATGGCTATATATGAGATGGTTTTAATCTAATAAAGGAATTAATGCTAGAAATAACTAGTAATTTTGAAAAAGTTACAAGAAATCTATACATGCAAAGCTTTCTTTTATTTAATGGTGGAGTTGGAAGAGAGTAATTAGAGAATGTAAATATAACAACCAGAAACAGAAATAGTGACAATTACTTTTCACCATATATACATAGTGAAACTCATATCCTCAAGAATAAATGTGTAAGCTGGGTGCAGTGGATCACGCCTGTAATCCCAGCACTCAGATCATCTGAGGTCAGGAGTTTGAGACCAGCCTGATCAACATGGTGAAACCCCATCTCCACTAAAAATACAAACATTAGCCAAGTGTGGTGGTTCATGCCTGTAATCCCAGCCACTCGGTGGCTGAAACAGGACAGTCGCTTGAACCTGGGAGGTAACAGTGAGCCAACATCATGCCACTGTGCTCCAGCCTGGGTGACAGAGTAAGACTCTGTCTCAAAATAAATAAACAAATAAATAAATGTGTCCTTGAAAATGCACCTTATTAATTACAAATTCACTTATTATTTTTTCAGTTGACTCTACAATATAAACATATATTTGTAGAGAGAAATTGGAATAAAATATTTTAGATTATAAATTATTGTATTGATAAATTCAATTTCATATTCTCTTACAGAACCAAATATTTTATATAAAACTAAGTTGAAATGTATATCCAATACAGGCAGACCTTTTCTGTCATTTCTTTACTATCATGTAATATAAGTATACCACATGTATACAATATGATATCTGTATAGGATAATATAGATTTTTCCTATCAAGCAAAAATCAAATTTTTTTCAGAATGAAGAACGATTTTTCTTCCAAATCCCATGCTTTTCTTTATATGGGAATAATTACCAACCTTTTCCAAGTGAAGAAGGTTACAGCTCTTAAATGCTATAACTTGAAATTCTGCAAGAAGATGACTTTAAACTATGTAAGATACCCTATTTCTATCCCGGTATATGATAAACAAACCATTTGCTTTAGCATTTCCTAAAATTACTCTAAAATCAATTCTCTTTCTACAGTGAGAAATATTAAACTCAGACTTTAAAACTTTGTTGTGATTTCTTTGCTTTAAGTTTCTAATCAGAGCCTTAGAGAATACATCTTTCTAGAATATTCTCAATGTGGCAGCACTAGTGTCAGGGAGAATGAATGGATTGAGGTTTTATAGCCTAAAAGAATGATGTTCACATCATTCAGTTAATTGCCAGACCCAACAAGCAACCAGATTCTACATACCAGAAGAGACTATTTTCCTCCACAAACATTACTATCTAATCAGTTCTTGAATGTGAAATAATTGATCTTGGAACTTCCTTCTTTGCTGTGTTTATGAAATGAGGCAAAAAATGAAAACCTTTAGGAAAAAAAGCTTCATTTAGACTGTCTTTTAAAGAATGCTGTTAACCTAGTTTTTCTTTATTCTTGGCAGTAGAATTTCTGCCCTATTAATCAGGGAAGGTCCTCTTGGTTCATCTCCCTACTTAAAAACAAATATTTTAATCCTCACTTCACTACACTTTAACTAAGAATTAAAGGCCGGGTGCAGTGGCTCATGTCTGTAATTCCAGCACTTTGGGAGGCCAAGGCGGGCAGATTGCTTGAGCTCGGGAGTTCGAGACCAGCCTGGGCAACATGACAAAACCATGCCTCTACAAAAAATACAAAAATTAGCTGGGTATGGTGGCATGTGCCTGTAGTTTCACCTACTAGGGAGGCTGAGGTGGGAAGAGGGCTTGAGCCCAGGAGATGGAGGTTGCAGTCAGCCAAGATCACACCACTGCACTCAAGCCTGGGCAACAGAGCCAGACTGTTTCTCAAAAACAAAACAAAATGAAACAAAACAAAAAACGGCAAGAATTAAATATGTTACTACCCATGATTATATACAAAGTAACATAGTAACTATAGGCAATATACAAGATACAATTCTGATATCTGATTACAGCCTCTCCTCACTTAGGATCTAGGGGTAACTTTAGACTGTTCTAAACTGATCTGGCTCTTTGCTTGTCTTACAACACTCCTGGTACTGTCCAATATGCTCTTGTTCTAGGTTCATTAATCAGACAATTTAACTTGAATCCTCTGTGTCTGACTGTTGTTGATATTTCTACATTGGTTCAACATCCAACAGTCAAAGATTATGGGAAATGGGTGTTACATTATTTATTTTTTGAAAAAGATATTCCATCCCCAATGGGAAAGGAAGCTTAAAATACGTAAAATATTGGACTGAAAAAAGAATACAATAATATTCCTTTTGCTATAGTAAATACTATTTATATTCTCCACACATCACCCAGAAAAGCATCTGAAAGTTTTACAGAACAGAATTACTTCATGCTTAATACCATTTGATTTACACTATACTTTGTCCCACTATAAATTAATACAAAACATCTTTGTAACTGAAAAATACATTTGCTTTTTATATTTTTTCTATCACACCTAACCTCTTCCACTTTTTAAGATGATGAAAATATTAATTACCAGTGGCTCTTCTGTTCACTGGCCTTTCTCATATTTAAAGATAGTCTTAGGTGCTGGATGTGGAAGTACTGGACAAATACAGAAGGCTGGATATAATTCTCTATTATGTTAGGGTGTCTACACATCAAGAAAATGAGATTCAGAGGATAAGCAGGAGACAGTGTGGGGGAAAAAAAAGTTGATAATCAGTAGCTGAGGAGAATCTTGAGGAAGAATCATTTTGATATGAAATTTATTTGCAGGTTTATTTAAATTATTTACATATGTATTTTGTCTACTTGACATAAAAATGATCAGATTAAAAATCTTTCTTTGCTTGTAACATATCCTCTTTTACTATTCCATATTTCTAACAATTTTTGCTTTGCAGATTTTGAAATTATGTTATTTAGAGCATGAATGTTCGTTATCTCTATATTTTAACTATAAGTTGGACATTGCAAATATAAGCCATTCTTTTTGTTATTTTAAGCCTTTTTGTCTTGAATTTTTATATCATCTGTTATTAATATTGTTGTTCTTGATTTTTTGTGCTTTCAATGCCTGGATAATATTTGCAATGTTTATTTTAGCCTTCTTCTTAGTTTAATATTTTATTTTGTGTATCATAAGCAGAATGTCATTGAACTATTTTATAATTTATTTCTTTAAACTGAGTCTCTTATTTTAATAAGACTTTGAACTCAATCATATTTGTAATAAAAACTGACAACTTTGTTTATTTGTAATCTTATTTTATATTTTCTTATATTTCTGTTTTTGTTTTTATCTTCATGTATTGAGCATGGTTTCTTAGCTCATGCTTTTTCTCTAAAGACTCAAATGTTCTATATTTTGTTTTTAACTCTATTAATAGTTATCTATACACTTTTTAAAATGTGAACATATACTTTTCTAACATTATAAATCAAAAAACAATAATTACTCATTCCCTCATTTTAACATAAAAACTTCATTTTATTCCCAGTTGCTTCTCTCATACTTTCTTTTTGCTGTTGTTGTTGGAATAATCCAAAACTTACTTCCATATTTTGTTACTACTTTACAATATGTACCATTAATTTATGAACAATTTGACAGCTATATTAGTCTATTTTCACACTACCATCAAGAAATACCTGAGACTGGGTAATTTATAAAGAAAAAGAGGTTTAATAGACTCACAGTACCACATGGCTGGGGATGCTTCACAATCATGGTGGAAGGTAAAGGAGGAGCAAAGTCATGTCTTACATGGTGACAGGCAAGAAAGTGTGTACAAGGGAACTTCCCTTTATAAAACCATCAGATCTTGTGAGACTTACTATCACAAGAACAGCACAGGAAAAACCTGCTCCCATGATTCAGTTACCTCCCACCAGGTCCCTTCCACAACACTTGAGGATTATGGGAGCTACAATTCAAGATGAGATTTGGGTGGGGACACAGCGAAACCATATCAACAGCTGCATTATTTAGTAATAATAACCACAACTTTTAGACAATAACTTTAAGTTTCACTGGGTTTATTGCCCATTTCTTTTTATTATGCTTCCTCTTCTTCAATCTTGAGTGTTCCGATTTATTTCTCCATTGGCATAATTTTTCAAGGCTTTTTTTTTCCAGGATGATTATGGGAGCTGTAATTTTTTTCTCATTCCTCATATTCCTAAGACTTTCAATTGCCTTCACACATAAATAATAGCTTGGTCATCTTCTCATGTAATATATTTCCCTCAAAACTTTAGAGATATTTTTTCCCAAGGAACTGTGTTACAGTTTGATACTAATTAATTTTTATTATAAGACAATATTTTTATTGCTTGAGTTATGTAGATTTCTCTACACCCTTTATGTTTTATCATTTCAGACTGCCCACACACATTTGTGTCCTGCACATCTTCACTCTATTGTTGCTCTTTGGTCCCATTATTCCACATATCAGAAATTCTTCCCATTGAATCATGACTAAGTAGTTTGCAAAACATACACCACTTTCTTCAACAAGCCTTCTCCTATTGCTTTAGCATATTTAAAGTTTGAGCTTGAATCCTAGCTCTGCTGATTGTTGTCTGTGTGACTTTGGGCACATTGCTTAACCTCTCTATACTTCAGTGTACTCATATGTAAAATGGTATAATGCATACATTAAGGGACTACTTTAAAGAATAAATAACACAATGGAAGCAATTTTATATTTAATAATGTAAAGTGAACACAATGGCTGTCTTCTTGAAAGGGGTCATTGTCTGGTCATTGTTATTGCTAATGTTACCTATTGTAATAACAATGTCTAAGTATTAAATAGAGAATTAAGCAATTGTAACAGTCTTGTTTGTTTAATGAAATTTAACCTATTCATATTATCAAACTAATATTAATGTGGGATTTGGGCTAGATTGAAGTAATAGCTAAAATGCTTATTGCTATGTGATATATTGCTGTTTTGTTTTTTCAAATAGGATTATAACCATATGCCTAGTAATATACAGTGACAACATTTGAAGTGATGTGAACACGTATGCAGTGATGTAAACAGAATATTTCAGCATAAAGGGAAGGTGATAATTGCAAAGATGCCTCATTTTCCTGTTCATAAATCATTAGCAGAGAGGAATGCTTTGTGTTTCTACAATAAAGCACAACATGTCTACATTACTTTTTTTTCCTGGCAAAATTCCACCAGACAAATCTGTTTGCTATTCCAAAATGATATGGATATCTTCCCAGAATTGATTTCAGAGAACAGAATTGAGCATATTCTCAAGTTTTACAGGATAATTTTCTCCAGTTTGTCATGACCAGATTTAAAGGATACTGTTATAAAAGTCTGCAGGGAAAAAATTCTTCTCCAAGAAATCTCAGTTTAAAATTACCTCATCCAAAAGAAATCCCACTGCCATATGTTTGCTTGGCCTAGATTTCATTCAACAAGGTTTCCTCCTCATACATTCTTCAGGGAGAAACAAAATTAAGAGTAGTGTGGTTGCCAGCCATTAAATGCCTATGGCCTGTGTCAATTTTTAATCAGACAGATCCTGTAGTAACTTTAACAGATTCTTGCTTTATAGTTTTAAAATCATAGATAGAGCAATGTGATTAGAATTTTTAAATGCTAAGAATTATTAGTTCCTGCTTTTCTTTCTGTAAAAATATTGTCTTCTTTTTTTCTTTATGGAAATGCAAAGCTCCCTTCATGTTCACAATCCAAGTTTGTTTATTTAAAATGTATGTGCTGTCTTCCTTCTTGTTTTAATGTCACCCTTGATGATTTGTTTGCTTCTGATAACTTTATGAGGATTAGTTATTGTTGTGAAAATTGAAGCTATTTAATAACATAATATATGTGGAATCATTATTCTTGACCCACAGTGTACATTCAATGTTGAATGAACATTAAAAAGAGAGTGTGGGGAGAGAATATAAAACTGAAGTATTGGGCGAATGAATTGATGCAGAGTTACCATCTCTACCCGACACTAAAGTGATAGTGCAGAAATCAGTTGCTACAGTTAAAATAATAATTGTTAGAAGTATAATTACCATAAAATACTTGGTAAAAAAACTTTAAAAACTTGTACACTGTCAGTATTAAAGATTATATTTACGAAAGTCTGTGACTATTATTGCTGGACTGAAGTTTACAAATAATACCTCATATTCCAGGCCATAAATATGGTAAAATTTTCACCACAGAATCATCGAGCAGAAAATTTTGGTTGACAATGACTATCTACCATCTCTACACGATGTCCGTTCACCTGTTAAGAGTCAGGATTCATCTGGCATTAGGTTTCCCTTTTATTGTCAATAAGGCCACCAGCAACTTTATGGGAATGTTATTTTACATGCTCATAAAGACTTCCATCCTTTTCAAAAATTTCCTGCATCATGCCTCACCAGGATAATTTGCTCTTATAAAATTGAAATGTTGGTATTACTCTGGACTATGCCATAAACATTCTGAAGTTGCAGAAATAACTCTCATGCATAGTTTGTGGAGTGCTTTAAGGAAGTGTCCTGCATTTTTTGTCAAACCCTCCTGAATCCGTTGGTGTACAGGATACTTAATCTAATGGAGCCAGGTTCTATGTACACCACTCAATGCTCAGGTTTAAACACACAGTAAAATAATCTAGTAGTTTGTTAACTAGGAGAACACAAAATATGATGTATGTTTTTATTTTTAAAGAACCCAGGGATCAAAATTTTCCTTTATATTGCATTAATAATTATTTCTAAAAATAACCTAAAAGACAAATGCAGAGGCAAAATTTATTTAATTATCCATTAATATACCATACTATATTAATGCCAAAATATTCAATAATGTACCCAAAGATTCTCTTTGTCCTCTATTCTAAACATTCTTAGTTAAAAAGCATCTTTCCTGCTCTTTAATAAGGATTGAACACAGAGAAGCCAGTTATTGCCTGCTATTCTCAATGGAATTCTTTTTAATTGCATTTTGAAATTAACTACTAGTGAAAGGTGAAAATATATGCAGAGCCCTGGAGACAGACAAAAAAATAAAAACTGGAGGGAGACACCTAAAGGAATACAAACAGTATTTTGAAAATAAGTGCACTCCAGAGGATTATATAATATGAATAAAATATTACATAGTACAATATGAAACAAGTGGTTTATGACAAAATTGAGTGATACTCTGTAGAATTCAGACCACTGCAGAAAAGGGAATGTATTTTTTACAAAGGAGTTTTTTTTTCTTATAGTTTCATTTATAAGACAACAAAAAGATAACATTGCAAGCCCTGCTTAATGATTGAAGATGACCTCAGGGAGCTGTTGAGCTTGCTGTGAGCTCCAGGATAACAGACAATTGCTGGGGAAGAGCCCTGTGAGAGGGTTATAGAGAAGAGAACACAGTAAGATGTGTGAAAGTGGTTAAATGACAACATGACTATCTGCAGCAAACTGCAACTCTCAAATGTCAAGTATTGAAAAATTAGATGATCTCCAAGGGACATTGCAGAAGATGTATCCAAAAGCTTTAAGTTCAAATAAATTATTTAATAAGTGAATTATCAGAATCTCCATTTAGTCTAATAAGCCTTTTCTTATCAACTCTAATATGTTATTTTACATTTAAAAATTCCTTTTTCTGTTATTTCATTAATTATGCTTTGTTCTTGGTTCAGTGTGTTTAACAAAAATGTTTGAGTTGTAATTTAGTGGGAAAAGAAACACAGCTAATTTAAAATAATTATTATATGCAGATTTGTTTTTCACCATTATTTCTGAAAAAATAAAGTGTAGATGGCCATGAACAAAAGCTGCTTTTTAAGAATAATTATTTTGCATGTTAAAACCATTTGAAATTTGTTCTAAGCAATTTTGAAGTATACATGATTATTAGCTATAGTCACCATGCTGTGTCATAGATCTCAAAAAACATATTTCTTCAACTGAAACTTTGTACCCTTAGAAAAATATTTTTATAGCACCCATTGCAAAATAAAAGCATTACTTGTTTATGAATTCTGTATAGAAAAATAGGGCTTGTCTTTTCTAGCTGTGTGACTCTGTGCAACTCAGTAAATCCAATTAATATCCATTTCTTATCAGTAAAATAGGGGTGGTCATATTTATTTTACCTGTTTTCATGAAGATTAAGGGTGAGAGCCTGTGTAAAGTGCTCCACACATACTAAGTTTGATAAGATTGTGTCTCTTTGCCTGTCAACTCTGGGCAAGGTACTGTTGCATTGCCCCTAAAGAGTCTTTATTGACTCTGGAGTTTATATGAAGAGTTATTATTATTATTATTATACTTTAAGTTCTAGGGTACATGTGCACAACGTGCAGGTTTGTTACATAGGTACACATGTGCCATGTTGGTTTGCTGCACCCATCAATTCATCATTTACATTAGGTATTTCTCCTAATGCTATCCTTTCTCCAGCTGCCCACACCCTGAAAGGCCCCAGTGTGTGATGTTCCCCGCTCTGTGTCCATGAGTTCTTGTTGTTCAACTCACCTATGAGTGAGAATCTGCAGTGGTTGGTTTTCTGTTACATGAAGAGTTTTTAAATGAGCAATTATAAAAAGAAGAGGGGGATTAATAAACTCTAAATGAGCAATTTCAGTGCTATTAAACACATATTCTTATTGAATATGGTTTAAAGTAATTTAAGATGAATGATTTTAAACTACATGACTTTGTTGGGTTGAAAGAACATGGAATCTGAGATTTTAAGGTTCTAAAAATTGGTCATTAATGTAAGTTTGAACTATAGTAATATTAATAACCATCTAATGGTTTGGTCATTTCCTCAGAAGTATTAAACATTTTTTAATCTAATTCACATTCATAAATCACCTGCTCCTATGAGTTTCTTTATGAAAACTGTGATTTTCTGAATTTATTGTAGATGAGATTGGATAAGGGGCATAATGATTGAAGAAACAAACTAACAGAGTGAGTTTAGAATCTAACTATTTCTCTTGCCTGCTTTATTCTTTTCATGTGTTCCCTCTTTTTTTGACCAGAGACACTGATGTCATTAATAATTCCTCCAAGTCATAAAAGAGTAGAACCAAATAACACACACTTCTCTGTGTGTGTGTGTGTGTGTGTGTGTGTGTGTTGTGATAAGTGGTAGGAGAAAATTAAAAGGGAGAGAAAATACAAAGACACAAAGAGTGTTTGTGGTGTGAGGGTTAAGGGAGTCCTCTCTGACAGGCGACACTCAAGAAGGAACCTGAATAAAATTACCAAGTTATGTGGGTATCTGAAAGCAGAACATTCCAACAAAAGGGAATAGTAAGGACCTGGGCAGAAATGTGGTTGGTATGTTCACAGAAGGCAGTGTCATTTGAGCAGTGTGAGGGTGAAAGTATTCATTGCTAAGGCTGCCATAACAAAGTACCATAAACTGGGTGGCTTAACCAACAGAAATTTGTTTTCTCACAATTCCTTAGGCTACAATCTTGAGTTCAATGTGTCAGCAGTATTGGTTTCTTCGGGGGCCTCTCTCCTGGGCTTGTAGATAGCCATTTTCCTATGGTGCTTCCTCTGTATGTGTCTGGGTCCAAATCTCCTATTCTTATAAAAACATCAGTCAGATTGAATTAGGGCCCAGCCTCTTAACTGTCTTTAATTTAATTATACATTGAAAGACTCTCCAAATATATAGTCACATTCTGAGGTACTGAGAGTTAGGACTTTGACATGTGAATTTTGACAGGCACAATTCAACCCATAACAGAGGGAAAGATGGTGAAAAAGAACAGTTGCTTATTTAATTTGTGGTTTTATTTTATGTGTGTGTGTTGGTTTTGCCTTTTGTTTTTGTTTTTGAGTGATTAGGGTAAGCCAAAGAGACAATGGAAGGAGAAGTGGGACAGTGAGTTTGGGGGAGTGAGTTTGTGGTAGTATTGTGGCATGGAGTTTTGATATAAAGAGGAGCAGCAAAATGAAGCAGTAACCTGAGAAAGCATGTGGCAAAAGGGAGGGCCATTTTTAAGCTGAGAGATTGCATATCGTGCTTCTGTTCCCTTGGAGAAAAGAAAATAGATAATTGTAGGGAAAAGGTCTTTTTAACACAAAATAGAGATGGTATTTATGCATTCATGAAGAGGTTCAATTTAAACAGGAACATGGACAAGCAACTCCACTGTACCTTCATTCTTGGGCTCCTCCATCTGTTTAAATGCATCTCTATCTCCTACTCCTACAATTTTTAAAAAAGCAAGGGAGAATGGGAGGGAGAATGGGAAGGTGGTTAAATGTTTAAGGCTTATGAATTGGACATTTTTAAAAAGTAATCCCAATAATTCTTAGAAATAAGAGCTATCTTTGGAAACTACCTGTTGGCAGGAGTAGAGCAGGAACTTTGAAAACCAGCTAGAATGGAAGATTTAGAGAAAAGGAGCAATTGCTGTGTCAAAGCTAAAGGAAAGGGCTTTGGAAAGAAAGACAAGAGCAGAAACGGGCTGCACTGAGGGAGGTGGCGGAGGGCAAAGGACCTTCAGTGGCAAGAGAGCCAGAAAGCAACTTTTGAAGAACAAAAAATGTGTAATACAAGTTTTTAAGTGGTTTCATTACTTCCTGTGGCCAAGATAGATTAATAGGAACCAGATTTACCCTCCTCCTGCCAGCAACAACTAAAGAACTAGACAATTTTTTTTTTTTTTGACAGGGTCTCGATCTGTTGCCCAGCCTGGAGTGCAGTGGCACGATCTCGGCTCACTACAACCTCCATCTCCTGGGTTCAAGCGATTCTCCTGCCTCAGCCTTCTGAGTAGCTGGGACTACAGGCACCCACCACCACGCCCGGCTAATTTTTTGTATTTTTAGTAGAGATGGGGTTTCACTGTGTTCGCCATAATGGTCACGATCTTCTCATGATCCTCCCACCTTGGCCTCCCAAAGTGCTAGGATTACAGGCATGAGCCAACGCACCCGGCCCGACAAAATATTTTTACAACAAAAAGGCAGTGCAGAACAGTGATTCCTAAAAAAGAAGTGACTGAAATCATTCCTGTAATTACCCTAGCTATTACCTCCAGAGAGTGTGGCAGCCTAGGCAGGAGGAATCTTGGTAGATCCCAAAGGTAACCCTAGGAGGAAGAGACAAAGTTGGAAGACCAGAAAAGCCAAGCCAACATTTAAAAGGCAGAGGACAGAAGAAGAGAGAGCTGCACAGAGAGAGAGCTCCAATGACTCTCTGATGAGCATATTTGCATAAGAAAACCACCCAAGGCCAGGCAAAGAAACACTAAAAGAAACAATCCCTAGACCTCAAACAGGTGTGGGAATGATTATATTCTCATATTCTCACTACAAATTCTCCTTGATTTACAATGGGGTAATGTCTGATAAACCAACTGCAAGCTGGAAAATATTTTAAGTAGAAATGCATTTAATATACCTAACCTATCAAACATTATAGCTTAGCCTAGCCTACCTTACATGTGCTCAAAACACTTACATTGGCTTACAGTTGAGCAAATCATCTAACACAAAGCCTATTTTATAATGAAGTTTTGAATATTTTATGTAATTTATTGAGTACTGTACATTACATTGGAGTTGTGCCAGTTTCACACCGTTGTAAAGCTGAACGATGGTAAGTCAGGGACTGTCTGTAGTCAGATTGGAAAAAACTTGTAATTCACAGGGTGTCAGGTAGATCACCTAAATGGTGCAGTAAAATTAGCTTTAGACTAAAGGTTGTTCCATGTCCCACCTTAAAGAAGAAAAGGAGGAGGAGAAGGAGGAGGAGGAAAACAAGCCTCAAAATGATCAAACTGTTTTTATGTAACTTAGCTACATCCCAGATCAAAGCTCAAAACATCCAACAAGGTAAAATTCTCAGTGTCTGCCATCCAGCTGAAAATTACCAGCTATGCAAAGAATCAGTAAAATACAACACTTAATGAGGAAAAAAAAAATCTGTCAATAGATGCACACTCAAAAAAAAACAGAGACAATACCTAGATGATAGATTAGGACATTAAAACAGTTTTTGAAGCTTTTCCGTAGAGAAAAAGTAAAGCCAGAATATACTGAGTAGAGATATGAGAAGATGTTTTTCTAAAAATACAAAAATCAAACTTATAAAGAAAGAAAGATAATATCTAAAAGAAAAATACACTGCATTGGGTGAACTGCAGATCAGACACCACAGAAGAAATAATTAGTGAACTTAAAAAAATAGCAATATGAATAATCCAAAATGAAAAACAGAGAGAAAAAAGGACTGAAGAAAAAATTCAGAGCCAGTAAGCTGCAGGATAACATCAAGTAGCCTAATTTACATGTAATTTAAGTCCCCAAAAGAAGGCAGGGAAGGTGGAGATAGAACGAAATATATATATATGAAGAGGTAATGGCCTAAAATTTTTGAAATTAAATAAAAGCAATAAATCCATAGATCTTGAGAAGCCCAATACATCTCAAGTACAAAATTTAAAGAAACTACCCTAAGGCATATCAAAATCAAATTGCTTATAAACATCTAAAATGAAATCTCAAAGGGCAGCCAGAGGGAAAAATATATATATGAGATTTACAGAGGAACAAATAACCAAAGATTTCATGTCAGAACAAGGCAAGCCAGAAAACAGTAGAGCAATATCTTTAAAGAACTGAAAGGTTTTTTTTAAGGTAACTAGAATTCTCTACTTAGTGAAAATAATTTTCAAAAATGATGAAATAAAGACTTTCCCAGATATACAAAAGCTTAACAGTAGACATTCACTGCAACATTTTACACATACATGTATGAGGCCTTCATGCAAAAAGAGGATGATAACAGATAAAAATCTGAATCTATAGAGAGGAATACAGACCACTAGAAATGGTAAAAATGTGGGCAAATATAAAATACTTTTCATTTCTTTTTAGTCTTTTCTAAAAAGGTAATCGAATACTCAAAGTAAAAATAATAACAATATATTTAGGGGTTCTTAATCACATGTAGATATAACATACACAGTATTATAAAAATGACAACAAAGTCAAGTGTGACCTTCTGGTCTCCAGCTGACCTCATTCATTCTGAGTCTGCTGTGCTCTTCTATATGTCATATTTATCCCATCCTTTAGTCAAAAAATTACATAAAATGGAAAAAGCATGTCTTTATATAGAATATTTTTTATATATTCGACTTTATTGAAGACCTAGGGACATGTGAGTAGGTTTTTCAATGTGTGGTCCAACAAGGTAGTCATAAATCCAAAATAATGTGTGTTCCTTTTCCTTATACAGTTTTTTGAGGTATTAACTGACATATAAAAACTGCATGTATGTAAAGCGTACATTTCCTTTTGAGTTTGGGGAACTTGTTTATTCCCGAAAAACTGCTTCACAATCCAAATAAGGTACACATTCAGAGAATGAATCCAGTTATGTAGGAGTCACAAGGCATCCATGTCAATTGATCTAGAAATATGCAGAAAGGCAAGGTAGAATTAAGGATATTTATAACAAATTTTCTCAGTGATATGGTTTGGCTTTGTGTCCCCACCCAAATCTCATCTCGAATTATAATCTCCATGTGTTGAGGGAAGGACCTGGTGGGAGGTGATTAGATCATAGGGGCAATTCCCTCATGCTGTTCTTATGACAGTGAGTGAGTTTTCACAAGATCTAATGGTTTTATAAGGGGCTCTTCCCCCTACACGCTCTCTCTCTCTCCTGCTGTTTTGTGAAGAAGGTTCCTCGCTTCCCCTTCCGCCATGATGGTAAGTTTCCTAAGGCCTCCTCAGCCATGCAGAACCGTGAGTGAATTATAAACCCCTTCTTATTTTATAAATTACGCAGTCTCAGGTGTTCTTTATAGCAGTGTAAAAAGAGTCTAATACACTCAGATATTTAAAAAAGAGTGTGGCCCCCAGCTGATCAATGGGTTATTTGAAATAGATTTCAGTTATTTCCTATTTTTCTTTTCAATAAGAAATTGTGACACATTTTGTCATAGTTCCTGGAGTTCCACTTGCCAGACTGCCACACAATTGCTGAATAACATCTACATGCAACATGAGTTACAATACAGGAGAGAGACCCTGAGCTTAGGGAACTCAAATCTTGTATTATGAACAATAAGCATGCCGGCCCTTTACTCCAAATGGAAATAATCTTTCTATCTCCCAAGGCTGTTCCTATACAAACATCTGTGTAAAGATAATTCAGAATAGTCAGTCAGTGCCTCTGCTCACAAGATGCTAAAAAACATGAGGCAACCTTATTGTGTCCCAACAAAATTCACTCCTCACTTTTACATCATCTTAACTTCTGGTGAATTTTTTCATGAGTACACCATTTCCCAATTCCATCAGCCACTTTGATTAATTTGACTCACAAAGCCTCAAACCAAATCCATTCCATTTGTCCCATGCAACATTTAATTAACACTGCTATCACAGGATGAGAGCAACTAGCAGTACTGACCTCAACCAGGCCCCTAGAGTTCTGGACTCAAATAGCTTCACAGATGTCACAAATGCTTAAGGTCTACCTTAGAAAGTGTTTTAGACTGCTAGGGCTGCCATAACAAAGTAACCACATATTAGGTTGGCTTCAACAAGAGGAATATATTTTTCTCACAGTTCTGGAGGCTGAAAGTTGAAGATCAAAGTGTCAGCAGGTTTTGTTTCTCCTGGGGCCTCACTTCTTTTCTCGAAGATGGCTGTTTTCTTACTGTATCTTCACATAGTCTTTCCTCTATGTTCATGAAGCCTTTGTGTTTCTTCTTCTTCTTATAAGGACACCAGTCATACAGGATCAGGACCACACACTAATAACATCATTTTAACTTAAGTTCAAGATCAAAGTGTCAAAATGGTTAGTTTCTTCTGAGAACTTTTCTCCTTAGCTTACAGATGGCTGTCTTCACATGGTCTTTCTTCTGCATGTGTTTGTGTCCTGATCTCCTTGATTTATACAGACCACAGTCATATTGCCTTAAGGTGCACCATAATGATCTTATTTAACCTCTTTAGAGACCTCATCTCCAAATACAGTTACATCCTGAGGTACTAGGGGTTAGGACTTCAACATATGGATTTTAGGGAAACATAATTCATCCCAAAATAGAAAATGAGGTGGCTTTCTGTTTAACTTTCTGTATTGGCCTTTCCACTTGGTGACTGTAGAGTCCACAATGGCATGTAAGGATAATTCTATCATCTGTAACAATCCTGGACAGTGAGAGGAGGCTAAACTGCATGGCTTCCAGGGCTTTAGCTAAAGTTAGGGACAAATTTCTCACAATGCTTTCCTAAATGAATGATTTGTATCACAGGGATGACTGCCAACAGGGGCCATGTAATTAATGACTCAGTGATTCATCCAGGAAGCTCCCCAGAGTAAGCAACAGCAGCTTCATATTGGAAAGAACTCCATGTCATCTGATAACTATGTGATCTACTGATGGTATTCCTTAAAATCTAGATAGTCTCAGATGACTGCCTCAGAGGAACAAGTAGCTGTGTTTTCAGGAGGGAAGCAAATGAATGCCTAGAATCCACACAAAATGTTCAGTCCCAGAGACACATATGGTGACTCTACAAAGAAAAGGTTGTTTGCAATAATTGAGCCCTCAGTTGGGGTAGCACATGTTAATGGTGCTTCCAAATTGTTCTCATATCCACATGATGGATCTTAGGGTTCCCAGTTCAGTTCAAAAACTGAGTTGAGTCCTTTGGTTTTGGAGACAGTGAGTGAGGGAAGTAAGTCCAAGCAGTTGTCTTGCCTTATACCATAGCTGGGTGGGATTTGTGTGCTCCATGGAACAAGCAGCAGCTCCAGGAGTGGAGCTGATACAGACATCTGGAGGTGGTGACGGATGTTTTGCATGGAAGATGCAGGAGCTTGGGCCATCCTCTGTTATTTCCAATAAATTTCTTAGTAATATTAAGGGGAATGATTGTCAAATTGTACTCAAAGCTGTCTAGCAGAGGACAGAAGATTCACCAGTATGCTAAATTTAATTGCAACAGTTTGGAAAAGCCACCCAAGTCATTTCTCATTCATGAGAAAGGCTATAGGGCTGATTCCAAAAGAAAAAAGATGATTAATATCCTTCCCTTTCCAGTATTTTCTGTGGTCTGAGTAATTTCTTTCCCATGCCAAAGTCATTGTTTTCCCTTCACTGCCACAAAATTGATGTGTCTCATTCCAGTAGCTATAACTTTACCTTTTTTAAAAAAAACATTTTTTAATCACACCTAGGCCTTTCATCTGTAAAGAGTCTGGTACAAGAAAGGCAACAGTATTTTTTTAAATTTTTTTTTTACTTTAATCAGTTTTATTCATACAAATGTTTACAGTTATAAGTTTAGAACAAGTCACTGATAAAATACAGATTGGATTGTTTTCAGTATTATGCTTTGGGTATATATTATCACAATTCTTTTTCTTATTTTTAATTTAATTTTAGATTTGGAGGTACATGTGCAGATTTGCTTTATGAGTATATTGCATGATGCTGAAGTTTTGGCTTCTAGTAATCCCATCAGCCTAGTAGTGAACAAAGCACCTGATAGGTAGTTTCTCAACTCTTATTTCCTTGTCCCCTTTCACCCTTTTAGAATAGCCAGTGTTTATTGTTTCCATCTTTGTCTCCATGAGAACCCAATGTTTAGCTCCCATTTATAAGTGAGAACATGTGGTATTTGATTTTCTGTTTTTGCATTAACTCACCTAGGATAATGACCTCCAGCTGCATCCATGTTGTTACAAAGGACAAGATTTCATTCATTTTTATGGCTGCATAGTATTCCATGGGGCATATGTACCATATTTTCTTTATCCAGTCCACTGTTGATGGGCACCTGGGTTAATTCTGTCTTTGCTGTTATAAATAGTGCTGTCATAAACATACAAGTGCAGATGTCTTTTTGGTAGGATGACTTATTTTCCTTTCAGTATATATCCAGTAATGGGATTGTTGGGTTCAATATAGTAACGGGGTTATTGGGATGAATGGTAAATCTCTAAACTGCTTTTCACAGACACCAAAATAACTTGCATTCCCACCAACAATGTATAAACATTCCCTTTTCTCCACAACTTTGCCATCAGTTATTTTTTTACTTTTTAGTAACAGACATTCTGACTAGTGTGATATGGTATCTCATTATGGTTTTCATTTGTAGCTCTGATGATTAATGATGTTGAGCATTTTTTCATTTATTTGTTGTCTACTTGTATATCTTCTTTTGAGAAGTGTCTGTTTATGTCCTTTGCCGACTTTTTAGAGGGGTTGTTTTTTCTTTTTGATTTTTTGTAAGTTCCCTATATATTCTGTATATTAGTCATTTGTTGGATGCATATTTTGCTAATATTTTCTCCCATTCCATAGGTGGTCTGTTTATTCCATTGATAGTTTATTTTGCTATGCAGAAGCTCTTTAGTTAAATTAGGTCCTGTCAATTTTTTATTTGTTGCACTTGCTTTTGAGGTCTTAGTTATAAATTCTTTGCCTAGGCCAGTGTCTAGAAGAGTATTTCCTAGGTTTTCTTCCAGTATTTTTGTAGTTTGAGGTCTTACATTTAAGTCTTTAATTCATCTTGAGTTAATTGTTGTATATAATGAGAGGTAGGGATCCAGTTTCATTCTTCTGCATATGGTTAGACAGTTTTCCCAGTACCATTTATTTTTCCATTGTTTATTCTTGTCAACTGTGTTGGTGATCAGTTGGTTGTAGATGTGTGGCTTTTATTTTTTATTTTATTATTTTATTTTATTTTATTATTTTATTTTATTCATTTCATTTCATTTCATTATTTCATTTCATTTCATTTCATCATTTCATTTCATTTCATTTCATTTCATTTCATTTTATTTTATTTTGAGATGGAGTTTCATTCTTCTCACCCAGGCTGGAGTGCAATGGCATGATCTTGGCTCATTGCAACCTCTGCCTCCCAGGTTCAAGCAATTCTCCTACCTCAGCCTCCTGAGTAGCAGAGATTACAGGCATCCACCACCATGTCTGGCTAATTTTTGTATTTTTAGTGGAGACAGGGTTTCACCATGTTGGCCAGGCTAGTCTTGAACTCCTGACCTCATGTGATCTTCCCACCTCAGCCTCCAAAAGTGCTGGGATTACAGGTGTGAGCCACCGTGCCTGGCCAATGTGTGGCTTTATTTCAATGGTCTCTTTTTGGTTTACTTTTGAACTAGGTACAGGAAAAGCATTGAATCTGTAGATTGTTTTCAGCAGCTTGGACATTTTAACAATATTGAATCATCCAATCCATAAGCATAGAATCCATAAGCTTTTCCATTTGTTTGTGTCATCTATAATATTTTCAGCAGTATGTTCTACTCCTCATTGTGGAAGTCTTTCACCTCCTGGGTTAAATGTAATACCAGGTATTTTATTTTTGCATGTGGTTACTGTAAGTGGTTTTGTGTTCTTGATTTGGTTCTCAGCTTGAACATTATTGTTGTATAGACATGCTACTGATTTTTATCCATTGAGTTTGTATCCTGAAACACTGCCAAATTCATTTATCAGGGCTGGGAGTCTTTTGGCAGAATCTTTAGGGTTTTATGGATAAAGAATCATATTGTCAGTGACGAGAGATAATTTGATTTCCTCTTTTTGTATTTAGATGCCTTTTATTTGTATTGCCTGCCTGATTGCTCTGGCTTAGCTCTTCGATACTAAGTTGAATACTATTATGTAATGAGTGGAAAATCTTGTCTTTTCCCAGTACTTATGGAGAATGCTGCCAGCTTTTGCCCATTCAGTATGATGTTGGCTGTGGGTTTTTCATAGATCATTCTTACTATTTTTAGATTTGTTTCTTCAATGCCTAGATTGTTGAAGGTTTTTATTATGAAAGGATTTTGGATTTGTCAAATGCTTTCTTGCATCTATTGAATGATTATATGGTTTTAGTTTTTAATTTGTTTTATATGGTGAGTCACATTTACTGATTTGCCTATGTTGAACCATCCTTGCATCCCAGAAATAAAGCTGGCTTGTGGTGATTTAACTTTTTGATATGTTACTGGATTAAGTTTGCTAGTATTTTGTTGAGGATATTTGCATCTATGTTCATCAGAGGATTGACCTATAGTTTTCTTTTTTGTTGTGTCTCTGCCATATTTTGGTATCAGGATGATACTGGTTTCACAGAATGAGGTTGGGAGAAGTTTCTCCCCCTTTATCCTAGTTTCAGTAGGATTGTTTCCAGTTCTTCCTTGTACATCTGGTAGAATTTGGCTATTAATCCATATGGTCCAGGGCTATTTTGCTTAGTAGGTTACTTATTACCAATTCAATTTCATTAATAGTTATTAGTCTGTTCAGAATTTAATTTTCTTCTTGGTTCTATCTTAGGAAGTGGTATGTTTCCAGGAATTTATCCATTTCCTCTAGAATTTCTAGTTTGTGTGCATAGACATGTTCATAGTAGTCTCTGAGGATCTTTTGTATTTCTGTGTGATTTGTTGTGATGTCACATTTGTCATTTCTGATTGTGCTTATTTGGATCTCTTGTCTTTTTTTCTTTGTTAATACAGCCAGCGGTCTATCAATCTTGTTTATCCGTTCAAAAGGCAACCAACTTTTTATTTTATTGAAACTTTGTATGATTCTATTGGTCTGAATTTCATTTAGTTCTGCTCAGACTTTAGTTATTTCTTTTCTTCTGCTAGGTTTGGGGTTAGTTTGCTCTTGTTTTCCTACTTTCTTCAGATATGAGGTTAGGTTGTTAATTTGAGATCTTTCTATCTTTTGATGTAGGCATTTTTAGCACTATAAGCTTTCCTCTTAACACTGCTTTTGCTGCATTCCAGGGGTTTTGGTATGTTGTGCCTCTATTTTCATTTGATTCAAAGAATTTTTACATTTCTGCCTTAATTTTGTTGTTTACCAAAAAGTCACTCAGAAACAACTTGTTTAGTTTCCATGTATTTGTGTGGCTGCAAGAGCTACTCTTGGTATTGATTTCTATTTTTATTCCCTGTGGTCTTACAAGATGGTTGTTATGATTTCAATATTTTAAAATTTATTAAGACTTGCTTTATGACTGAGCAGGTGGTAATCTTAAAGTATGTTCCATGTGCAGATAAGAATAATATGTATTCTGTGGTTGTTGGGTGGGATAGTCTGTAGATTTCTATTAGATCCAATTGGTCAAGTCTTGAATTTAAGCCCAGAATTTTTTGTTAGTTTTCTGCCTCAGTGATCTGTCTAATGCTGTCAGTGAGGTTTTGAAGTTCCCCACTATTATTGTGTAACTGTCTAAATCTTTTCTTA